>NC_000014.9:77035955-77187470 GCF_000001405.40 Homo sapiens
TCACTTGAGCCCAGGAGTAGTTCAAGACTGCAGTGAACTATGATCACACCACTGCATTCCACTATTCCACCCTGGGTGACAGAGCAAGACCTTTTTTTTTGAGATGGAGTCTCACTCTACGCCCAGGCTGGAGTGCAGTGGCGCAATCTCGGCTCACTGCAACCTCCACCTCCTGGGTTCAAGCGATTCTCCTGTCTCGGCCTCCCAAGTAGCTGGGATTACAGGTGCCTGCCACCATGCCTGGCTAATTTTTGTATATATTGTTTCATGGGGTTTCACCATGTTTGCCAGGCTGGTCTCGAACTCCAGACCTCAGGTAATCTACCTCAGCCTCCCAAAGTGCTGAGATTACAGGTGTGAGCCACCGCACCCAGCCTTCATCTCTTAAGAGAAAAAAAAAAAAGCACTTCTAGCCAAGGGTAGGTGTATAGCTCTGACATCAAATCTGGCCTAGGCATCACTGGAGCAAGAAAGCCCGGAAACAAAGTGACCCCTCCAACACATGTAGAGGACCACCATACTTTAACCTGAACTCCCCTCTCTGGCCGTACACAGAAGAGTAAGCTTGATAGGTTCCTGGTGTGAAACTATTCTCAGTACTTACATTTTGTTTCGAAGCTGAAACTTGGCTACCAGATGGCCTGGTGGGTTTCTGTTCCCCAACTCCCTAACCAGTGCCCTTCCATTTACCATTCATTCAGTTATTCAACTATTTATTTAGGGAACACTTTCTATCTCAGTGCTGGATGAACCAAGCCAGACTGGCTGTAGCCCAGAATCTAGAAGCTTCCATTTCCTCCTAGGTGTCCTACTTTCCTGATGCAATAGCCCAAAAGTCATAAGAGGCAGAGCTTTTTCAATACTCCCACCAGCCACATGACTGACTTAGAGCAATCTATTTATTCTCTCTGGGACTCCATTTCTTCACCTGTCAAAGGTTGATATTAAAACCTGTTCTCCCTACTTCAGGGGTTTGCTATGAAATTCTGTATGTTAATGCCTAGGGCTGTAGAAAGGCGAGACACTGTGACAAATCTTTTTTCCAGCGCTAAGCCCTTCGAGGTAAAATGGGTGGAAAGCCAGGCCTGCCGCTAAGCCCTGTCCACTCTCTTCATCTTGCCCTTGGAGGGCCTCCTCCTGGGGGGCCAATCTAGCATGTCCATGTCCTTCTGGGCTGGCAGACAAACAAGCAATGACAAGCTTTAGGCCTAAAAGCTGGAGAAAGACAATAGCAAGGTTAGGCTGTTTGTTTCTCATCTCTCCTAGAGAGACAAGGATATCCCCTCCCCAAATCCCTGGTGGTGGCAGTGAAGCTCGGAGCAGTTGGATTTATTTAGGGCTTTTACTTTTTTTTTTTGTTTTGGCCAATTTGGAAAGAAAAGAGGCAATGACCTCTTCTTTAAAAAACAAAACTAGGCAGGAAGTGTACTGGGCCTGAGTGGCAGGGACTAAGGGTGTAATTACAGGTTTTTGTTCAGCATTTTCGAGTAATTAAATCCAAAGGAAAGCGAGCCTAGCCGAGGCTTCTTGGATGCAGGGCAGAGAAGAGCTGTGTGTATGTGTGTGTTTTGTGTGTGTTGGGATGGGGAGGAGAGGCAGGAGGTGAGAAATGGATTTGCTTTTCAGGCTGAGAAGAAGCGGGCTTCTCGCCTTTATTAATATTTTTACATTGCTTTTTCCAAAAGGTAGCCGATTATTCATCTTTTATTCGGTGCCACTGCCCTCTCCTTGGTGACATTTTCAGCGTGCACAGCTTTCTAGGCACTGATTTTCCTTCACGCCAACTCTCCCCCTCCCCACTTTTTCATATTCCCGCTTTCTGCCTGGTTGCCCACACAATAAACCCACTGCAAAATCCGCAGCCAGCTTTCTTGCCTACAGCTTCCATCCCAGCGACCTCCGACGCTGAACAATAGTCTCTCCTTTTGTTTTAAACATCTTCTGGCTTTCCTTGTTCCGCTTTAAAATACTTCTTACCACCACCATCCCTACCCAGCCTCCCCCGTGGTTGCCTCGGTTTCCTTTTGGGACAAGCAGTCTGTGCACAAGCGCACCTGGTTTGCAACGCCCAGAGCGTTTGAAATGGGTTCAAAGCCTAGGGATGCGCGGGCTCCTCTCTCCTCCCCTCCTCTTCCTTCCCTCTCCCTGGGCCCTTGATGTCCCTCCGACGTTCCCTGGACGTTGTGAAGTGACAAGCAAGAAAGCATATACTGTCTGCTCACATTTTTAAGGGCAGGAAACCTGACTCACCCCCAGACCACGCGCCCCAAGGAGGGGCACTTGCATTTTCCGGCGGGTGGGGGGGCGGCCTCTACTAGGGTTAGCTGGGGCCGGCCTGGAGGCTGCCCCCTCCTCTTCCTCCTTCTCCTACCCCCACCCCACATCATGCCCGCAGATTACCGCCCCCACTTCCCCCGCCAGTCCCCTTCACCTACTCTCCCCAAGAACAGATTGTTTATCAGAACGGGCAGCCAAGAAACCTACTCCTGTTTCTGGCCTCTGCCAGAGATTAATCACACTTGGGAATGGCACAAAACTTGACTGTGTTGGGAAGGGGTGAGGCGTAGGGGGTAGGAAGGTGGGGAGATGTGGGGTGGGGGGATAGTTAAAAGGAAAGACCAATACATTTGACAAGGTGACCAAATCGGGGTTACCGCTGCCTCTCCCCTCCTTTAATTTTAGTAAGTCAGTGCAGAAGACGGAATTCTACTTCATTCCCACTCCCTCTACCCCCACCCCCAATTACCTTCCTTCTTCTCTAGGTCTTCATGTTTGATGCTTTAATAGTACTGACTGGCTTTTAATTCTGATTAACATTCTCAGCTGGTGCGTGCGTGTGTGTGTGTGTGTGTGTGTGTGTGCGCGCGCGCGCCCTCGAGCGCGCGTTGGGGCCTGGCAAGACACACTCAAACCGGACTGCCTGACAAATCCCCCCTTTTCATCCTTCTCTTTGAAATGACATCAAGATGGACTTGTGGGGGGGGAGGGATGAAGAGAGGAGGCACGGAAAAAAGAGAGGGAGGGGGAAGGAATTTATGTGCTTTTCTACGGCAGCTAGTAAAATTCCTAAGGGAGAACAAATGCCAAAATTGACTGTCTTGGTGTATTTTAGACCCGATCGTCAGGGTGAATCATGTCAGGGCTTTGCAGTGGACCTGCAGCCTGGGAGCTGAAGACAGGGACACGAAACATCCCTGTGTCTGGGAGGTGCCCTTCTGAAAGAGGCAGGAGATGGGTATTTGCTCTCACCAGGCTCCTCTCCTTCAGGATTTTTTTTTTTCTAATTCATTGCAAGATGGAGTTTTTTTTTAAAAAATTGGCACTGATAAAAGCCAAGGATAGAAAACTCCCCATAAAACACGGCCCCCCAAGGGAAGTGCAAAACCCATTTGATGCAAAATATAGATATCTTCACCCTGGATTTTTCCCCCTTTGCTTTACAACTCTGCAGACATCAGGTTAGCAAAAGGTAATAAATAGTCCTTGCACAGCAGGGTCTGGACTAGTGAAAACAGTTTACTGAAATTAATGGGCCTCGTTTGAACCAAAACCTCCACTTTGGAATTAATGCCAGACATAGTTTTCCTGAACTCTATCCAACCGCCTAAGCGGCAGACAATTTTCATTCTATTTGTGCTGGAAAATAAAGCCCAAGCCCTTGATCTCAGTGTAGATTTTCATTAAAAAAAAAAAAAAAGTACAGTGAATACTATGCCAATTTCCACTTTCTGCCCATAGAAGCCCTTGTGCTCTGGGCTGTGCGTGACGGTCAGAAGTTATCTGGTAAACTTTGCATTGAAAAGCATCTCCGAACTCCCTCCCCATCTGTGGCCTCACAGCTTTCACCATGACATCTGAGAGATTCAAGGAAAGCTCCAGAAACAGGCTTAGCTCTCAATAACAACCCTCTTCCCTACAGATCTTAGAAAGGCTGGATCTGAACAACGCTGCCTGCAAGACCTCCATTCCCACCCTAAATAAAGCGCCAAACCATCCAACCGAAACCCACCCCTCCTCCCCTGGTACTCAGGGTGTCTACAGCTCTGAGGCTCCCTTTATTTTTATTTTTATTAATGTATTTTTAAGGCTGAAAGGCACACACACCACACGCATTCACACCCAGTGGTTATGGGGTTTTGGCAGGTACGCGGAGACCCGGTGCCCCAGCTGTCAGTGTCTGATCCCAACCCCTCCTCCTCCTCCCTCCGTTATTTATTAATAAAAGCCTGGTCGTGGGCAGCCGGCGTTCTGGTTTTCATTGTACAGTCTGCACTGGTGACACAGGACATGTGGAAAATTTTGAGAGCACTGCGGTGAATAGTGTGGAGGGGGAGCGTGAGCAGGGGGAGGGGAGGGGAGGGAGGGGAGCGAGTTACTTTTTAGCTTCCGCTAAGTACTTGGCGGCTCGCCAGGCCCGGAGAATTGTGGGAAGCGAAAACCTCCCCAGTATAAACTGCCAGCTTTAAGCAGCCCTGACAGTTCTGCTCCTTCCAAACTTGGCAGCCGTTCAAAGTGCTCTTTCATTTGAAATGCTGGAAGCCTGCCATGTGCAATGCAGATTTGCTGTGCCTGTGCGCAGAAGGAACTGATAAATGCCGTTGCAGTTGCCATGGGGACAGGAGGCTATCAGAATGGCCTTGTGATCCGCAGCCTCTCTGCGCGGCAGGCTCTCGTTCTCCCCCTCCCGCCCCTCCTCCCTCTAGTCAGTGAGATGGTGAAATAAATGTTCTGGAAAAAGGTTAACCCTCCCCGCTCTGGTTCCGAGGGTGAGAGGAGGTTAACCTCTAAGCACTTCCTTGGCCTTAAGTGCCAGCCCGGAGCACAGGTGTCAGCGCCGTCCTTGGGTGGGTCACCATCCTCCCGCTCTCCTCTTTCACACCCCCAGCTTTCTTCCTGCTCCCTGGGGGCTTTCACAAAGCGGTATTTTTAATAGAGGCTTTTCAGCAAGCTCAAGTGTAAGTCTTTGAGTCATCAAAACCCGGATGTAAACACAGCAGCCCTGCATTCTGCACAGTTTGCGTGTATTTTATCTTTTTAATAATATTTAGCTGGCAACTTAAAACTGCAAGGATGCCAGATATTTTAGCCAGCCACTTACATCATGCAGCATCCATCTTGGGGAGAGTGGTGGCGGGTCCTTTCCTTGTTCTCTTGCTCCCTGCCGCCTACCTGAGACCGCAGGAAATCTGGGTCTTTCTGAAGGCATCTTCTTGTGGTGTAGTCCCCTTGGAACCGCGGCCTTTAGAATGAACATGACATCACCTTGGGCAACAACGACAGAGGGTGTGTTCCTGTAGGAGACAAGACACGGGGAGATCCAAGGTGAAACAGATCTATCATTTACGCTGCGCCAATTTCAGGTGTGTGAGGGTGCACAGTCTGGATCATCAGCCCCCCATTTAGCACGAACTGCCGTTTGAAACACAGTCTGATTTAATGTACAGAAACAAAATAGCACATTCAGATTTGGTATATTTTCAGGCCTGTAATGCCAACACTCCGGGTGGCCTGTTTAATGGGGAAAAAATGAAATATTCCACTCCAGCCCAGGCCTATGGAAACCAAAGAGGTTTAGTGATTTATTTACATTGGGGGTAAAAACGGTGAGCAGTATTCCTTCTCGGCTCGCTACTTCCTGAAGGTTTCCTGAACCTAAACATTCGTTAACATCCCAGGAAGGGAACTTATTTTTCCTGTGGCTTTCAATATTTTCTGCTAAATATATTTCGGCACACTGTTTATCTTGGGCTTCAGCTTTCAGACCTTTATGCACTTTTAACACCTTGAGGCTGTTTCACTGAAAAATGGTGTATGTTAATTAAAGAGGACTTTATGTGCTGGGCATTAAGGCAGGGGGGATTTCTGTTTTGATCTGTCTGTATAATGAGGGGCTTCAGGATGAAACACAAGTCAGAGGCCTGTTAGCTTCGTGAAGCCCTTTTGACAAAGCGGGACCTTGAATGTGGGCCCTTGTATTCAAACACTTGAAGACCACAGAATGTTGAACTGAACGAAACATTTCTTCCTAAGTGCATGGTGAACATGGAGGCCAGGAGACGAGAAAGACTGAAAATGCCCCAAGTTCCTGGGGCTTAGCTGCAATTTCTTTGAACTTGACTGTCTCTGGGTGTCTGCTCGTGATTGTCACGGCAGCTCTGGCCAAGGCGATGCACTCTGTCTCGCTGGAATTTCCTGATTCCAAAGTAGCCCCTTCCAAATAAATAATCAACAAACGCCATCTGCTTCACCTTGCCAGCAGGCACAGAGCTGAAGGGTTAGCTAAAACCTACAATTTTTAGGAGCAGTAGGCTCTTGAGACATTTCAAGATAGGTTTCGACTTGGAATTAAACTAGAGTTAGAGGCAGAAATCAGGTGATTCAGAAAGCAACCCCCCCTCCCTCCCGCCAACTTCCCCAGACAGTCCAGGCAGCTGGGTTTTTGGCTCTCACAGCTGCTAAGCTTTGGCAAGCCAAAAGCATATTTCGTGGTGGTGATTCCTTTCCCAGGTTGACGGACATGTTTCTGTACTGAGCACAAGGCATGTTTCCTGACCGTGTGTGAATCAGAGGCTGCATTTTTATCCAGGGCTTCTGGTGACAGTTTTAAGCTGGATGAACAAAGCAGACCCTGACATGTCCCTGTCATCAAGGTCAAGAGATACAGAATCTATCCTAAATGTTCGCCACCTCTAGCCCAGATGTATTATATTTATTTATTTTTGTTTTGTTTTGTTTTTTGAGGCGGTGTCTTCCTCTGTCGCCCAGGCTGGAGTGCAGTGGGGCAGTCTCAGCTCACTGCAACCTCCGCCTCCCGGGTTCAAGCAATTCTCTTGCCTCAGCCTCCCGAGTAGCTGGGATTACAGGCACGTGCTATCATGCCTGGCTACTTTTTTTGTATTTTTAGTAGAGACAGGGTTTTGCCATGTTGGCCGGGCTGGTCTCGAACTCCTGACCTCAGGCGATCTGCCCTCCTCAGCTTCCCAAAGTTTCTGGGATTACAGGCATGAGCCACCACACCCGGCTATTTTTTTTTTAATCATGCCAAGAGCAGCCACCACCCCACAAGTCAATGGATGCCCATGTTCATGTGTCAGATGTTACCCTTCTCTCTCTCAGTGTTTTTGTAGTGTTTGCTTCTTTGTTGGCTTTGGTGAGAAGATTTACAAAAGCCATTTTGGACCCTTGAGTGCCTTTCCAGATCGAGGCAAGCTCCAAGATTCCAAACAGCCTTGACCTCGTCTGTGTCGCCCCATTATAGCAGGGATGATAACCGGAGGGGAGTCCTTGGTGTAGCCCCTCCATACCAGGGCCCGGAGAGCCAGCTTCCCAGAAATCCATGGATTAGGAAACTCTGTCGTGGGCCAGTTCAGGAGCGGCAGGGGGAACAACTCCCTTTTGTTTTGTTGTCTAGCATGTGACCAGAATGCTGCCAGCTAATTTTAACCCCACCAAAGTACTGCTGGGAAAAAAAAAAAAAAAACTATCTTGCATCTGGAGAGAGAAATGCTGTGGGCTGGATAAAAGCTTTTCAGCCTGTGTTCCTTCCTGTTTCAGTTTCCAAACTTGCATTATCGGTAACCTGAAAAATGATGAGTTTCACCAAATTCCTGGATGTTGTGCAAGAGGACAATGAGTCTATTTTGGGTGGTGTGAGTGTGTCTGGCATAGACACTGGGAACCATTGTTTTCAGGAGGGAGAATGTTTTGGGGTTTCCTGGTGCTTTCCTTATAGGGTCTCAAAGCCCCAAGGGGTACTGCTGGGGGGAGAAACCCTCCATGGCAACCATGGAGGCTGTGCTCTGCAAAAGACCTGGCTGAGAATTGGGTGGTTAGGCCAGTGGGTGGGGGTGAGGGGTGACGTGGCAGTGGTGGCTCCAGAGGTGTTAAAAGGTGCTCTGTAGGGAGTGTTTGAGGTAGAACGACTGGAGCAGGAAGAAGTGGGGAGAGAGAGATGCTTTCACTGTGGCTGGGCGGCCCCCTGGGACACAGGGCACCTCTTCTACTAATTCTCCATATCTGCTTTTAGCACCATGCGTGAATGGAGGATTATATGGAGTTCCCCACCCTGGATACTGGATTCTCAAAGCATACCTGTGGTGGTTCATTGTTGCTGTCTGGCTGGATGGCAGTTGTTGCTAGTGGAAAAGTCCAGAATCGCAAGACCCAGGAAATGAAATGGTTTGGGTGAGACAGCGTGTAGCTAGGCAGGTGCCGCTGACTGTTCTAGAACTAGATAGTAAGGTGGACTGCCGTTAACCTGAGTGTCCACAACGCAGTCTCGGAAGATAAGGTCAACACTGCAGCACTTGCTGCAACCTCAACCAGGAGAGCTTGGTGGCAGTTGTTCTGACAGCTGCAGAGGGCCTCAGCTGCCTAAAAAGCCATTTGCTCAGCCCTGCCCTGTCTGGCCAACTTCTGTGTATTTCAAGGATCCTCATGGGTCTCTGTGGCCCCCCTCTTTTCTGAGTCCTCAGGCAGACACCATCTTCGGAAGGGCAGGGAACCCCATGTTCTGCTTCTAACTGGCTGCTATAACCTGCCAGCAGTAGTCAAGATCAGTTGGCAAATCCCTAAATTAAGGTTCTGTTTATTTTGTTGTTTCAAAGGCTTGTTTTGAGCAAGATGTTGTGCTTTAATTAAAAAGATGAGAGATCATGAGTAAGTGAAAATATTTTTGAATCTTCACAAATAGGTTTGAATTTCATTTCTTGCGATTCACAGTAGGGGGTCAAGCTGATCAGCACTTTTATCTGTGAGACCATCTAGAAGGTCTTCTGTAAGTTAACAGCTGACTCTTCTGCACAATAGAATTGTAAAGGGAATCCTCTGTCAAGCATTTGTTCCTTGCTGCTTCTCTGTTTACAGATTTTAGCCAGCCTTCAGCTGTCATTAGGGCATATTCCTCATTTACCTTTCTAGCCAGAGGATTCCTAAATGTTTCATAATAGCTCCACAGCTGGAATGCAGCTGCTTGGGGTGGAGCAAACATAACTCCCTATAGGTCAGCGGGTGAGGGAGGGCAGGGAATCTTGGAAGGTTGGGAAAGTCCTTCTAAAGCCAGAGCTCAGGAATGAGTGGGGCCACTGGTGTGAAGACTTTCCAGATGGGGGAAGGAAGGGTTCATTTTCTGCCCTCTGGGTAGATTCCAAAAAATCGCTTTGGGGAGGCCAACTATTTTGAAATTGCCTTTAAAGAAGACAACACAAATGTTTAAACTGACCTGGAAAAGCCTTTCTTTTTCCTTTCCCTACAATCCTAGTCTGTTCCCTTGCACATTAATCAACAGAATTGTGTGCCCACGATTCTCCCCTCCCTCACCTCTTTTATTATTATTATCTTTGGTTCAGGAAACTTTTGGAAGCTTTCCCAGGCTGGAGCTATAGAATGATTCCAGGAAAATGCATAGGAGTTTCTGAGTTTTCTCTGGAGGGAGCTGAACATGTTTTTCAGAGAGACGAAGCTAGGGGCAACCAGGTCTTGTGCAAGAATGCAGCCACAAAAGAGGGCAGACAGTGCTAAAAAGATCTGTGGACATCCAAAAGTTCTGAAAGCAAGGTGTGGCTTAGTGAGCCTGCCTGTTCCCCACCCCTTCAGTGTTTTATTATGGCAGCTGCCATGATGTCAGTCCGTGAGCCCAAGCACCCCATCTCAGGGAGATATGCTGAGAACAGCTGGGTGCTGGGGTTTGGACTCTCAAGTTAGCAGCACTTGTAGTTTCTGCCAAAAGAACACTCCAAGATATAGATGGAAAAGTGCAGGGAGTCAATACTTACCCAGCAGGCAGGGGCCCCACCCAGACATGGAATGCAATGGACAAAAAAGTGTCCTTGGGCTATTGCTGCCAAGGGTGGTGCCAGCCTTCAGCCTGTGCCAGCGCAGATGCTTTTGAGCCCAGAAAACACACACAGAACTGCATGCACGCATATATCAGAAACATCTGTCTATACACAAAACCAGAAAGCTACTGGGGAGGTGTGCATAGATGAGGTACAAGAGCAAGGGGGACCTGCAGGACCCATCACTGATAGATGTGGCTTTTTTTTTTTTTTTTGAAACAGGGTGTTGCTCTGTCGCCCAAGCTGGAGTGCAGTGGCATGATCTGGCTCACTGCAATCTCCACCTCCTGGGCTTAAGTGATACTCCTGTTTCAGCCTCCCGAGTAGTTGGGATTACAGGCGCACGCCACCATGCCTGGCTAATTTTTGTATTTTTAGTAAAGATGGGGTTTCACCATTGGGCCAGGCTGGTCTCAAACTTCTGACCTCAGGTGATCTGCTCACCTTGGTCTCCCAAAGTACTGGGATTACAGGCGTGAGCCATTGCACCTGGCCAGATGTGACTCTTGAAAGCAAAGGCAGCTTATATTTCCTGGAAATACACTTCATTCAGGTTGGTTCACGGGCAAAGGAGACAGAAGTTGCTCCTTAAGGAGAATGCCCTGGGCGAGGGCAGAGCTGCCAGCCACTCTGCAATGGTAGGGCTGCTGCACCCACTGTGGCCAGGAGAACCTCAGGAGAGGTGAAACAATCAGAGGGTTGTGGTGATAGAAACTAGAGGACACAGCTCCCAGCTCTCCTCGCCCCGTTAGTTTGAAGACTGTTACCAGCAGCACTGTCGTGGTTCTGGCAGTAAAATCTCCTTCCTTTCTACCCAGGGACATACCGACTCCGGAAAGCATCTTTCCTACAGCAGGTTGGGAAGGTGCTTAACAGCCCAGACTTTAGGATATTAATAGCAATGATGATAGGCAAGGCTGACATTTATTGGGCACCTCTTATGTGTTGGACATTGTGCTGGCTGTTTCAATGCATTATCTCTTCTAATCCACACTTAATGAAGTGGATTCAGTTATCGTCCCCATTTTATAGATGAAGCAACTGAAACTCAGAAAGGTTAAATAACGTTATCTTAGGACACACAGCTAGTAAGTGTTGGCTGAAGTTTGAACTCAGGGTTGCCTGACTCTAGAGGCCTTATCAGACAGATCTGGGTTTGATTCTTGACTCATGAGACTTTGTGACCTGTGCCAAGTTTCTGCACCTCCAGGCTTCCTCATCTGTTTTCATTGTTAGACACATCAAATATTGGCAATTTCATGTAATTTAGCCTAAACCTGCCTTACAACATTGCTTTAAGGCAGGGTGTGGTGGCTCACGCCTGTAATCCTAGCACTTTGGGAGGCTAAGGAGGGTGGATCACGAGGTCAGGAGTTTGAGACCAGCCTGACCAACACGGTGAAACCCCGTCTCTACTAAAAATACAAAAATTAGCTGGGCGTGGTGGTGCGCACCTGTAATTTCAGCCTCTCAGGAGGCTGAAGCAGGAGAATCGCTTGAACCCAGGTGACAGAGGTTGCAGTGAGCCGAGATCGCACCACTGCACTCCAGCCTGGGCGACCGAGCGAGACTCCATCTCAAAAAAATAAAAAATAAAAATAAATAAATAAAAATTTTCCAGGCGCCTTACAGGATCAAGACAAACTCCTTAGCTTGGAACACAAGGCCTCTGGGAAATTGCCTCCAATTCCTCTTTTTGCCTCTTCCTTTTTCTTAATTTCTAACCACATTGAATTCCTCTTGTTCCTTAAACACAATATGAACTTTGAAGCCCCGTGCCTTTACGGGGCTCTTTTCTCTACCTACAAAGAATGTTTTCTCCCTCTTGTTTTTTGAGCAAACTTCTATGCATCCTTCAAAACCCAGCTCAGTTTTTACCTTTCCTGTGAAAATAGTCTCTGGCATTTCCCAGCTCTGTGCTTCAATTGCAATCTGCATTTATCACAAAGAGTTGTAGTTGGCTGGGCGTGGTGGCTCACGCCTGTAATCCTAGCACTTTGGGAGGCTGAGGCAGATGGATCACCTGAGGTCAAGAGTTCGAGACCAGCCTGGCCGACATGGTGAAACCCCGTCTCTACTAAAAATACAAAAATTAGCCGGGTGTGGGGCGCCTGTAATTCCAGCTACTCGGGAGGCAGAGGCAGGAGAATCGCTTGAACCCCGGGGCGGAGGTTGCAGTGAGCTGAGATCGCACTATTTCACCCCAGCCTGGGAGAAAGAGTGAGATTCTGTCTCAAAAAAAAAAAAAAAAAAAAAGTTGTAGTTATCTGTTCACACTGCCTCACTGGGGACTCAATGAAGTTCAATGCTGGGGCCATTCTATCCCGAATGCCTCTAGAAGCCCCTAAATAAAGGCTAGTCAATTAAACATGCCTAAATATACATTTTTATGACGTAATTTTATTGTCACCAAAATAATATGGAAGTGTATGTATGTATGTACTATTTATACCCTTCCTGTCCCAGCAAAATCTTGGAGCATTCTACTCAGAAGTAGAGATATAATAGTGCTTAGTATATCATGCAGTAGAGTTGGGGCTTTGGAATCAAGTATTTCTGGGTTGAAATCGTAACTTGGTCTCTTACTGTGCCATTAAGTCATTACTTTATCTCAGCCTCAGTTTTCCCACCTGTAAAATGAAGATAACATTAATTACCCATGAGGCAGACACTGTTGATTGCTAAAAAGTAGTCACTCCTGCTTTCTTCCTTAGTGCCCTGAATTTGTTTCAGGAGTCCCACACCCCTCAGTTCCACGTGCCTTGGGGGGAAATCCCAATTAGTCTGAGCTAATCTTAGCATCCCATCCCCCTTGCTAACACTTTGGGGATGGATCTGTGACCGAGTTCTGGTGAATAAGACATGGGAGTTGGGGGCTTGTTTTAGGAAATATTTTCATATTTTCTCAATCTTTTTTTTTTTTTCTTTTTTTTTTTTTTTGAGACGGAGTCTTGCTCTGCCGCCCAGGCTGGAGTGCAGTGGCGCGATCTCCGCTCACTGCAAGCACTGCCTCCCGGGTTCACGCGGTTCTCCTGCCTCAGCCTCCCGAGTAGCTGGGACGACAGGCGCCCGCCACCACGCCCGGCTAATTTTTTGTATTTTTAGTAGAGACGGTGTTTCGCCGTGTTAGCCAGGATGGTCTCGATCTGCTGACCTCGTGATCCGCCCGCTTCGGCCTCCCAAAGTGCTGGGATTACAGGCGTGAGCCACCGCGCCTGGCCATATTTTCTCAATCTTAAAACATGAGAGAGAGAGAAACAATTGTCTTTCTTTCTTTTTTTTTTTTTTTTTTTTTTTTTTTTTTTGAGACACAGTCTCACTCTGTCACCCAGGCTGGAGTGAAGTGGCGGGATCTCAGCTCACTGCAACCTCCACCTCTGGGGCTCAAGCGATTCTTCTGCCTCAGCCTCCCAAGTAGCTGGGATTACAGGCGCCTGCCACCATGCCCAGCTAATTTTTGTATTTTTAGTAGAGACAGGGTTTTACCATGTTGGCCAGGCTGGTCTCGAATTCCCGACCTCAGGTAATCCACCCACCTCGGCCTCCCAAAATGGTGGGATTACAGGCATGAGCCACCGCGCCCAGCCAAACAATTGTCTTTCTGTAGCTGTATGTGTGTCTGCAGTGATGATGGCTGGGGCTACAGCAGCCATCTTGCTATGATGAAGGCAGCCATTCAGAGAACTAAGTCAACACACTAAAGATGATAGAATGGAGGCCGGGTGCGGTGGCTCACGCCTGTAATCCCAGCACTTTGGGAGGCCGAGGTGGGCAGATCACGAGGTCAGGATATCGAGACCATCCTGGCTAACATGGTGAAACCCCGTCTCTACTAAAAATACAAAAAATTAGCCGGGCATGGTGGCGGGCCCCTGTAGTCCCAGCTGAGGCCGAGGCAGGAGAATGGCGTGAACCCGGAAGGCGGAGCTTGCAGTGAGCGGAGATCGCGCTACTGCACTCCAACGTAGGCAACAGAGCGAGACTCCGTCTCAAAAAAAAAAAAAAAAAAAAAAAAAAAAAAGAGAGATGATAGAATGGAAGGAAATGTGGAAAGAACATTAGTCTGGTGGCACAGTTCAGCAGCTGGATTACTCTGCCCTGGAGCCACCCACATCTGGACTATTTCCATCAATTCCTTCATTGTTCAGTGAGGGACCCCTGGCTCGATCCAGTGGAACCAAGGTTTCTGTGACTTGCAGCCAAAAGCATCCTAACAATCAACTTCGCAGGGTTGCTGTGATGACTAAATAAAGTAAAATTGGCCAGGCGAGGTAGCTCATGCCTATAATCCCAGCACTTTGGGAGGCTGAGGCGGGTGGATCACCTGAGGTCGGGAGTTCTAGGCCAGCCTGGCCAACATGGTGAAACCCCGTCTCTACTAAAAATATAAAAATTAGCTGGGCATGCTGATGGGCACCAGTAATCCCAGCTACTTGGGAGGCTGAGGCAGGAGAATCACTTGAACCTGGGAGGCAGAGGTTGCAGTGAGCAGAGACCACGCCATTGCACTCCAGCCTGGGCAACAAGAGGAAAACTCTGTCTAAAAAAAAAAAAAAAAAAATTGAAAAAGTGCCTGACAGGGTCTGGCACATAGTAGGTTCTCAAAGATTGAAGACTCTCCTGCTGAGATGTTCTGGGATGAATGCACGAATGACTATGAAGAGTGGTCCAGAGAACATGGCAGATGGTAATAAAGGTTAGAGCAGTTCAGAAGTGGGTGGGTGCTAGAACGATGAAGATGACAATGACGATGAAATTCAAACATTATGTTAGTAAATGTCCTAATGGAACTTCTTGGGGCTGTAACAATGGTTCTCCTTTTTACTTCTAATGCCTTTTCTTACCCGGCTCAGAATTAGACATTGCATATACAGGCTTTTCTAATTGTAAGTGGCCACGCTTGTACAATTAGGGTGGTCCTTAATTACCCTGGGGCATGGAAGCCCTGCTACAGGATAAAGGCAAGAGTGTACTTTTTTTTTTTTTTTTTTTTTTTTGAGACAGAGTCTTGCTCTGTCACTCAGGCTGGAGTGTAGTGGCACGATCTCTGCTCACTGCAACTTCCACCTCCCAGGCTCAAGCGATGTTGTGCCTCAGACTCCCAAGTATCTGGGATTACAGGCGTGTGACACCATCCGGCTAATTTTTGTATTTTTAGTAGAGACGAGATTTTGCTATGTTGGCCAGGCTGGTCTCGAACTCCTGGCCTCAAGTGATCCACCCTCCTCATCCTCCCAAAGTGCTGGGATTACAGGAATGAACCACTGAGCCCAGACTTTAGCGTATAATTTGTAGCTCCAGGAGGAGCCAAGATTTGAAAGCAGAACCATCATACCCACACAACGTAAAGCAGGGCCTTTGACTTGCCAAAAGCACACCAAGTCCGTCCTCCCTGAGAGACCCAGAGAAGCCCAGCAGACCTCTCCAGCTCGGGTGGGGCTGCCTCTGGGGGCTGCCTGGCTTTTGGCCAGCTGACCAGGCCATGGAGTGTTGCTCCCTGCCAGCCCCACAGCCCTTTCGAACCTCGTTCCAGGAGAGCTCAGCCACACCAGTGTCTGCCAGACTCATGTCCGTCCAGCTGTGTGGGCGGCCCTGGCAGCAGGGGACAGGGCAGGGTTTGTGCAAGGACATTGTGGCACCCACAGCAGGGCGTGGGAGAGGCGGTGGCTCACTTCAGGGACGAGTCAGGAAGGAACGTGGAAGAGATGGGGAGCAGAAGCCACAAACTCAAGGCAGCCTCAGCTGCCTTCTCAAAGGCCGCCTTCACCTTAGAAGCTTGTTCCAGGGTCTCCTTTCCTGCTTGCCCCTCCCCTGTTGAGCTGGGTTCAGCACAGCCCTGCTTCGATGCTCAATTCTTTTTTTTTTTTTTTTTTTTTTTTGGCAACAGAGTTTCGCTCTTTCGCCCAGGCTGGAGTGAAGTGGCGTGATCTCATCTCACTGCAACCTCTGCCTCCCGGGTTCAAGTGATTCTCCTGCCTCAGCCTCCCAAGTAGCTGGGACTACAGGCATGCACCACCACGCCCGGCTAATTTTATAATTTTAGTAGAGACGGGGTTTCACCATGTTGGCCAGGCTGGTCTCAAACTCCCGACCTCAGGTGATCCACCCACCTCAGCCTCCCAAAGTGCTGGGATTACAGGCATAAGTCACCGCGCCTGGCCACTGACGCTCAAGTCTGTTCACCAAATCTTTATTGAGAATACTTTATGTAAGATGCCATATTCCTCCTGGCTAATGGTGGGGTGGGGTGAGAGATACCGAGAGCAAGATCAGAGTAGAAAGGACCTCAGAATGGCCTTTAAACTTGGGTGCCTCAGAACTCCAAAGCCCAAGTATTTAAGAAAGAAAAAAAGACTGCTGCAGTTTAATCTAGGGCAGGGATAGGGTCCTGTCCACTCTGCCTTGAGTCAGAGACTCCATGGATAACATCCAAACAACCCTGACCCAGACCAGGGGGGGATATAGAAGCCCAGAGAGGTGAAATGACCTCCCTCAGTCACACAGCAAGTTGGAGGCCCACTCAGGTTCAAAGTCAAGCCCAGTGCCTCGTCCATTGTACTGTCCTACCCCTTGGCACTTGTTTCAGAGATCAGCTGCGGAGATGGGGCGAGTCACCCAGGAACAGACAGACACACTTGCTACAGACTAAAGAGAACAAGTGGTTCTAACTCAGGATGGCAAAGGCTCCCCGGAAGAGGGGCAGGGAGCCGGGCCTAGGGCAGCATGGGCAGGATTGCTCATGGCACATGGCAGGGGTGGGGAGAGAGGTGGATGTGAGGAAGGAGGCAATTCCAGGCCTCAGAGAACATGATCTGCTAGCGCCTGAAGAAAGACTGGCAATCCAGAGAGCTGGGTTCCAGCCCTGGCTCTGCCGTGACAAGCCCCTGGGCCAGGGGCCTCCCCTTTGGGCCAGTTTCCTTGCATGTAAAATGGCAAAGAGGGTGGGCTAGTTGGCCCTACTGTGACATGCTAGGAAGCCTTCTCTCCTCCCACCACCACCAACACCACCCAGGACACTCCCCAGTGTGTGCCAGGTGTCTGGAATTGACACCAGGAGGGAGTGTCCCTGGCTGCCCTGTGGCACAGCATGGAGCTGGCAGGCCTGCCCAAGGTGTCTGCCCAGAGCTCTGGGAAACAGTGACAAACCATGAGGAGGCAGGAACTGGAGAAGAACCCGGGCAGGAGCCATTCCTCTTCTGAGAAGTGGTCTTTCCCATCTGGCCCTCTCCAGAAGCTCAGGCCTCTGCCAGGACTTGTTAGGGTCCCACCACCCCAAAGAGGCGAGGCCTCAAGGGTAGAGGGGTACGAGTCCCTGAACAACCCCAAGCCTCAGTATTCTCATTTGTAAAATGGGTAAAAATAGCACTTTAGTAGTCTCATTTGTAAAATTGATATCAGTACCTCAGATGATGAAATGAGATAATGCGTGTCAAGGGCCTAGCACAGCGCCTGGTGTAGGAGCCACACGTCCCAGAGGGCTGCCTGCTGGGGAAGACCGCATAATTTGAAGCCTCCTGACATAAAACAGGCTGGTTGAGGGAGGGCCCTTTCTGTCTAATACACCACTCGTCGGGACAGGATTGCAAAGGGGGCCTGGGGAGGTGAGCCCACTGGAAAACAATGTGTGCGCGCCCCCTGCTGGCTGCGAGCAGAGGTCCCGCCTGTCCGCTGGGGGTCTTCAGGTGGTTCGTGTTAGCACCACCTGCTGCTGCCGGGTCAATTGACCCAATATTCACAGATCACCCCCCAGGTGTCAGGTACCCCGCCAGGCTTTGGGAGGGATGCAAAATGAGTGAAAGATAAGCTAGGTTTTTGGAGCCAACTAGTTTTGGTGTCGACCACGCATGGGTTCAAGCCCAGAGACTATCAATATCTGCTTGAATGTTCATTCATTCAACAGAAATGGTTCTGCATCGGGATATAGCAATGAACAAAGGTCCTGGCATCGTGGACTTGCGGTAATCTTAGACAGAGAACATAATCCCTCAGAGCTTCAGGTTCTCATCTGTAGCATGGAAGACTTCTCTACTCCTTCCCCTCAAACCAGAGGGTAGAGACCCTGGGTATGGATTTCAAGGTCGCTGTCATTAGTAGGAACTAACAGTCACCACCAACAGCCATCTCTTCTCAAAGGAAACCTCATCCCTTTGAGCCTGGGCTGTCATTCATTTGGTTCATTCTGAAGGGACCCTGTCATGCCAATCTCCCCAGGCTCTCCATCTACCAGGAACCCCGGAAGACCCCCGCCCCAAGCCATTCTGCTCCAGGGCAATGATAGAGCCCTAACCTCTAATGAGAGGTCATCAGAGTGGATGTGGGAGGATCGTGCAGTTACCCTGCAACTTTCTCTCCAGGTGACACATGGGTATTTCTCCTTAAATTAATTGGACTGGTTAGCCTCAGTGCCAACCTGGTAGGAACCATCGCCTGCCCGGATTCCTGTTCTCCCCCAGACCACTGGGCAAATCCTTCATGGTTGGTAGGGCTTTAAGGGCTAGAAGAGGATAGGAAATATGTTCTTGATGACTTTTTATTAACATCCAATTTTCTACTCCCCATGGCCTTCATTACACACACACACACACACACACACACACACACACACACACACACAGCAAAGGTGAGGATTGGAAGCCAGTTGATGCTGGAGGAATGCTTTAACACCCCTATCAACACACAACCCAAGTCGGGTCCAGCTTATTCTTTCAAGATGTCCACAGTTTCACCCCACGCTCAGGATATGTATGGGTGCGTGTGCTTTTGTACACACTCATATAGCAAACTTTGAGCTATAGCCAGGTACTAGGGCAATATTAGTAAACAAAATAGACAAACACAAACACAAAATCCTGCCCCACTGGAGCATACATTTGTGTGGGGGGGGCAGGGGGGAGTCTGGGATAGAAAAGTAAATAAGCAAGTAACATAAACATGATGTTTGAGGGTAATATGTGTTATGGAGAAAACTAAAGCAAAAAAGAGGGTGCCCCAAAATGAGTGGGGGATTTTAAATGGGGTGGTCAGGGAACGTCTCATTGAAAAAGTAACATTTAAATAAAGACCAAAAGGAGATGAGAGAGTGAGCTATGAAGCTATTTGGTAGAAGAGGGTTCCAGGCAGAAGAAATGGCAAACTCAAAGATACTGAAGCATGGTCAGAGAGGCTGTCCTAGTGGGAACAAGGAGAGAGGCGATGGGAAGAGGCAGGAGGTGTTGGGCTCTATTATTAATAAATTATGGTCAGGGGTCCCCCAATCCCCTTTTCCAACCAATATAGTTAATTTCATCCCTTTTCTTAAAGTTTTGAAACTAATACCTGTCTTGTAAACAAGCCATGACAAAGCTCTATTTAGAGAAATATGGTGGGGAGAGGCTAATCAGGGTAGATTTCCTGGAGAGGGAGGTTGGCTGACTTCTTCTCTTTTCAGGTGAAGAAACCAAGACTCAGAGACAGTCAATAACTTGCCTAAGGTCACAAAGCTAGAAACCGACAGAGAAGGGCTTACATCCATGCTTATCTGGTTTAGAAGCCACTGCTCTTAGCCAGGGTGCTGCCATGGTGACAGGCCATTTCCATTAGAGGAGAATGATGGCTGTTCATCTGAGGACCTGGAACAACACGGTCTGCGTGGCCATCACTCAGTCAGGGCAGAGCATGGGTACAGAATCGTGGCATTGTTTGGCTGAGAATCATAGATTCTCAGTGAAGCACAGGCAAGGTGCCAGGCCCCAGGCATGGGGTTTTAGATGCATGATCTCATTTAACTCTCATTTTACAGATCAGGAAATTGAGGCCTGTCACGCTTCCTGATCTTGTGTGTATCAGAACAAGATCATAACAATTGACTTTCAAAAATTAGTGGCTTAAGGCCAGGCACAGTGGCTCACGCCTACAATCCCAGCACTTTGGGAGGCCGAGGCGGGCGGATCACCTGAGGTCAGGAGTTCAAGACCAGCCTGGCTAATATGGTGAAACCCCATCTCTACTAAAAATACAAAAATTAGCCAGATGTGGTGGCAGGGCCTCTAGTCCCAGCTTCTTGGGGCTGAGGTAGGAAAATCACTTGAACCTGGGAAGTGGAGGTTGCAGTGAGCCAAGATTGCGCCACTGCACTCTAGCCTGGAAGACAGAGCAAGACTCCATCTCAAAAAAAAATAAATAAATAAAAAATAAAAAAGGAAAAAGTAAATAAAAATTAGTGGCTTAAAACAGCAATTTATTATTTCTCATGATTTTGTGAGTCAGGAATTTGGGCAGGGCTTGGCTGGGTGGTTCTTCTGCTCCATGTGGTGTCAGCTGGGGTCACTCAGCTGCATTCAGCTGGCAGCTGGACTGGGAGGGAAGGGCCAAGAAGGCGTCACTTACAGGCCTGGCACCTCAGCGCTCCTCTGCATGGCCTCTCCACGTGGTCAGCATGGTGGTTTCAGGTCAACTGGATTAATTACATGGCAGCTGGGAATTATATTTCATCCAAGGGAATGAAAGCAGAAGCTGCCAGACTTAGGGACTAGCCCTGAAGTTGGGACAGTGTCACTTCCACCACTTCTACTGCCCCAAGCAAGACACCAGATCAGCCCAGATTCAATGGCAATGATGTTTTGCAGCCTGGCTGCTCCATCACAAGCACTCCTTGCTCTGGCTCCCTCTTCTCCCATCCTTTGCCCAATCCAATATAGCAATGGCAATGATGTTTTTATTTG
Source organism: Homo sapiens (assembly GCF_000001405.40). Taxonomy (NCBI): domain Eukaryota; kingdom Metazoa; phylum Chordata; class Mammalia; order Primates; family Hominidae; genus Homo; species Homo sapiens. The sequence goes on from NC_000014.9 coordinate 77,056,492, forward strand.
TTTGTTTTGTTTTTTTGAGACAGAATCTTGCTTTATCACCTAGGCTGGAGTGCAGTGGCACGATCTTGGCTCACTGCAACATCCGCCTCCTGGGTTCAAGTGATTTTCCTGCCTCAGCCTCCCGAGTAGCTGGGATTACAGGTGCCCGCCACCACACCCAGCTAATTTTTATAGTTTTAGTAGAGATAGGATTTTACCATGTTGGCCAGGCTGGTCTCAAACTCTCCACCTCAGGTGATCCACCTCCCTCAGCCTCCCAAAGTGCTGGGATTACAGGCGTGAGCCACCATGCCCGGCCTTTATTTTTGTTTTTAATTTAATTTAATTTTTTGTGAGACAGGGTCTCACTCTGTTGCCCAGGCTGGAGCGCAGTGGCACGATGACAGCTCACTGCGGCTTCGATCTCCTGGGCTTACACAGTCCTCCTGCCTCAGCCCGAGTAGCTGAGACCACAGGTGTGCTCCATAGCACCAGGCTTATTTATGTATTTATTTATTTAGTAGAGATGGGGTCTCCCTATGTTGCCCAGGCTTTGTTGTTCTTTGACTTGCTTCTTTCACCTATCCATATATCCTGGCAGGGTCAGGAGCAGGGTGAGGCAAGCAGGATCCTCTGTGACCCAGAGAATGGCCCTCTTGCACTCTGTGCCCTTTCTCAGTACACGAAGGTCTGCCTCATTCTTGTTTTTTTTTTTTGGAGACAGAGTCTTGCTCTGTCACCCAGGCTGGAGTGCAGTGGCGCGATCTCTGCCCACTGCAATCTCCGCCTCCCGGGTTCACGCCATTCTTCTGCCTTAGCCTCCCCAGCAGCTGGGACTACAGGTGCATGCCACCACGCCCGGCTAATTTTTGTATTTTTAGTAGAGACGGGGTTTCACCGTGTTAGCCAGGATGGTCTTGATCTCCTGACCTCGTGATCCGCCCTCCTCGGCCTCCCAAAGTGCTGGGATTACAGGCATGAGCCACCGCGCCCGGCCAGCCTCATTCTTTTTAACTCTTGCATAGTATTCTATGGTAGAAATGGAACACCATTAACCATTTCCCTCTTGACGAACCTTTAGGTTGTTTTCAGTTTTTGGCTATTACTAAAATGCTGTCTTGAAATCCTTGTAGATGTCTTTTTGTGCATGTAGTAGTTATATAATTTTTACTTCAGTATATATGCATTTTATTTTTTATTATCTTTTATGGAGACAGGGTCTCACTTCCTTGCCCGGGCTGGAGTGCAGTGCTGTGATCATGGCTCACTGCATCCTCCTCCTTTTGGGCTCAAGTGATCCTCCCACCTCAGCCTCATGAGTAGCCGGGACCACAGGCATGTGCCACCATGTCTGGCTAATTTTTTGTAGAGATGGTGTTTCACTCTATTGCCCAGGCTGATCTCAAACTCCTGGACTCACGTGATCTGCCCACCTCAGCCTCCCAAAGTGTTGGGATTACAGGCATGAGCCACCATGCCTGGCCAATGATGTTTTTAAATGCTGCTAATAATAACGTACAAAATTCAGAAAATATAGATAAATAAAAATAGGAAACAAAAACCACCATATACCACGGCCTAGAGACAATCGGAGGTCCCTTCAATACCTACACTGGAGGAGGAAAGAAGCCCCCTCCCCCGGAGAATCTTCCACCCATTGCAGGGGTCTGCTGTGATTTGGGCTCTGTTCTGCTGACAAGGTGGAGCCTGTCATCTATCCCAGACAGAATTATTGCCTCAGATTACATGGTTGATTATCAATTACTTGTGTTCGTATGAGAGCATGTGTGCGTGTGTGCATAAGTGTCTTTGCAAATCATTAAGGGTCGTAATTCTGGATTATCATTGATTAACGTGAGGGAGGCCTGGTACCTCCAGCAGCCGGGATGGCAGGCCCGCAATTATGTCCCAGCTGATCAGTAATTGGCGTATCACAAGATGATTTCTCTCTCGGCTGCCTACCCCCAGCCTCTCCTGTCGGCTTCACAATTAGCACCATTGCTCATTCCCTTCCAGCTCAGGCCAAATGCAGAAGCCTGCTTTCTGGCAAGGGGAAGCCGTGGGGCTGTCTTGAAGACCACCACCCAAATAGAGTGGGGATGGTGGTGTGGGGTCGGTGGCAGAGGCACAATGCGGGGGAGTGGTGCCGGCTTGAACTCTAGCTTCCTGATGTCTGGTGCTGCCTTTGTGTCTTATCCTGCTTCCCAGCAAGCTCAGGCACCATTGACCCACCCTCATTGCATGGATGGGGAAACTGAGAACCAGAGAAGGAATATGGCAAATTAGAAAAAAAAAAAACATCCAAAAGCAATAATTCAGGGCAACATGGCCACACGGGTCCAAGCCCAAAGAGCCCAGGAGGAAGCAGAGCTATAGAAGGAGCACCCCGACCATCACTCCTATCCTCGGGAAGCTGTCAGGTCGCCACTGGTTGTGTCAGTTTCCTTGAGCAACACAAGCTTTTAGCCTCCAGAGATTGCACATAGATGCACAGAGCTCCCCGGGGTGGGGAGGAAGCGTACTGAGGAATGTGCAGGTGTACTCCCTGCTGGATTATGAAAACGGCTTCCTCATGGTTCTCCCCACTTCCAGACTGGGCCCCCAATCTATCCTCCTGTCCAGCCTGCACAACGAACTCCCTGTTGCTCTCAGTTCAGGTCTTCTCGTGCCCTCTTTTGCCCTAGCCTGGTTGATCCATCACAGACCCCTCCTTGTCCTGGCTCCCTTATCTCCTGTCCTTTGCCCAATCTGATCCCTCCCCCTAAAGCCCCTGTCCCCTCCTCCCACACTCTTTTGGCTTGGAGCACACACCCTTGGGGGAGGTTTTAATACAGGTGCCCCCACTTGGGCTCCACTCCTGAGAAAGGAATTCTGACCTCCCTAGGAACCAGCAGATACAGAAGCAAAAACTTTAGGGATGGCTTTGGAGGCGTGTGAAAGGATGGAGAAGGCAGGGCTGTTCCAGAAACCTTCCACATAAAAGACTCTCCCATGGCTGCAAAGCCACCAGGCAGTTTGTTTCTGAGCCTTGCAGCTGTCTTGGCCATTTTCATTTTTATCTACTTAGGTTGGTCAGCGGGTCATGGCAAGCAGGAGACACAATGCTAATGACTCCGGCTCCACGTGGCGACCATTCAGGAAAAAGCTGCAATGTTCTCTCTGCCACATTAATCAGAGAAACACATCAAGAGTTGTTGCGTGGAGACAGCTTTCCTCCCAGTACTCGCCCTGCATACTAATCACCACCCCCTCCTGGCGGTGAGTCAGCTCCAAACCAGGCCGGTGGTGGTAAGGGAAGGCCAGAAACACCAGCTCCATCCACGTGGGGAGCAGCTGGAGGAGCGGGAGCCAGGCCCTCCACCGCCCAACATGCACTGTGTGTGACCATCATGGAGGCCTGGTAGGTGGGGATGGAGCACTCTGGGAAAGTTCATCCAAACCCAAATCTGGGCTACTTCCTTGTGTCTAGGTCTTGCCCAAGTCGACCAGAGGAAATGCTCCAGAAGCTGATCCCTAGACAGAGCCTTTGTTTTTTTGTTTTGTTTCGTTTTGTTTTGTTTTGAGACAGACCCTTGCTCTTTCGCCCAGGCTGGAGTGCAGTGGCGCGATCTCGGCTCACTGCAACTTCCGCCTCCTGCATTCATGCAATTCTCCTCCCTCAGCCTCCCAAGTAGCTGGGACTACAGGCATGCACCACCACGCCCAGCTAATTTTTGTATTTTTAGTAGAGACGGGGTTTCTCCATGTTGGCCAGGCTAGTCTCAAACTCCTCACCTCAGGTGATCCACCTGCCTCAGTCTCCCAAAATACTGGGCTTACAGGTGTGATCCACCGTTCCTGGCCCAGGGTCTTATTAAAATAAAGCAAGCGGGGCCTCCGTGCCAGGCACTTTGGTAACAATTAAGCCATCACCTTGGATAGTATTTCACATGTGGTAGGCAGAAAAGGAAGCCCTCTAGACAAATTAGCTCATTTAATCCTCGTACAACCCTATGAACTACTCACAGGTACTAGTAACATTACCATTTTGCAGACAAGAATGGTGACACGTGGAGAGATTAAGTAGCCAATTCAAGGTCACACAGCTAGTAATAACCAACTGGATTTGAACCCAGAGAATCTGGTTCCAGTAGCCATGCTCTCCTAGTGCTCAGGGTTGCCTGAGCTGATAGTGACCATAGGAAAGCCTCTGAATGTCTTTTGCATGTATTCACTCATTCACTCACTCATTCATTCATTCATACAGCAGTGATTTGTTGAGCATCTACTATGTACAAGGCGCCATACTAGGTACCAGGGAGACAAAGGTATGTAAAACAGACATAGGCTTAAGAGGGAGACTGACATCAATTTAACATTTTTATAAATTTATAGTAAATGCAAAATGTGATAAGTGACATGAAGGAGAAGTATTGGATCCCATGAAAGCACCTAGTACGAGAACCTCATCTGTTTGGTGAGGTCAAGGAAGGGTTCCCCGAGGAAGTGACAAATGAAGAAATAGCTTATACTGGTGGTTCTCATAATGTGGCCCCTGGCCTAGCAGCATAAGAATCACCAAGGAATCTGGTTTAAATTTTTTTTTTTTAGAGACAGGGTCTCACTTTGTTTTCCAGGTTGGAGTGCAGTGGTGCAAACATAGCTCACTGCAACCTCCTGGGCTCAAGTGATCCTCCCACCTCCCAAGTAGTTGGGACTACAGGTGCACACCACCACACCCAGCTAATTTTTTTTTTTTTTTTTTTTGGAACGAAGTTTCACTCTTGTTGCCCCAGGCTAGGGCACAATGGCATGATCTCGGCTCACTGCAACCTCTGCCTCCCGGGTTCAAGCAATTCTCCTGCCTCAGCCTCCTGAGTAGCTGGCACTACAGGCTCCAGCCACCACACCCGGCTAATTTTTGTATATTTAGTAGAGACGGGGTTTCACCATGTTGACCAGGCTGGTCTTGAACTTCTGACCTCAGGTGATCCACCCACCTCAGCCTCCCAAAGTGCTGGGATTACTGGTGTGAGCCACCACGCCTGGCCTAATTTTTTTATTTTTTGTAGAGACAGGTGTTGTCATGTTTTCCAGGCTGGTCTGAAACTCCTGGGCTCAAGCAATTCTCCTGCTTCAGCTTCCCAAAGTGCTGGGATTACAGGTGTGAGCCACTTCAGCAAAGAAATTTGTAAGAAAGGCAAACTGTCAGGCCCCACCCCAGACCCACTGAATTGGGAACTCTGCGGAAGAGGCCCAGAATCCGTGAATGAGCGTACCAGGGGCTTCCGATGCATGTTCGAGTTTCAGAACCACTGCTTGCAAGTCTTTGTGTAACAAAGGCCCCGAGGTGGGCAGGCGCAGGCACATTAGAGTACCCAAGGGGGGCCTGCAGGTGGGGCGGGAGTGGGGGTGGGGCTGGATGGTGGTTTACACTGGCCTTGCAGGCATGCTCAGCAGTTCAGCACGCATCATTTCCAGTCACCAGGAGGCCTGGCCAGAGGTTCCTCTGCCCTAAGAACCCTCAAGGAGTAGCAGGTCACCTGTGTGTCCAGGCTGGCCAAGTTACGTAAAAGCATGGAGATGACTATGACAAAGGCTTCTAGAGGCCCCTGGTCACCTGATCTTGACCATGTTTTGACTTCCAGGAAGCACTAGTCAGACAGTGAATTCTGTTGCTGTGAAAATGCCTTAGTCCTCAATGCCGAGAGAGGAACCCCAGAGGGAAACACCTCCTTATCCTCAAGAAGCCTTTGCAAAGGGCCTGTGGGTCCTGTTTCCCCTTGGATCGGTGCTAGCAAGGGACATTATCTGCTGAGCAGAGGGTTGCTAGAGGTGGCTTCTACCCTCCTCAGGAGGCAACCCTGAAACAGACACATTGCATTAAAGACCCTGCGCAGCAGAAGGCAGGTATCACCCGCTGAGAGAGCTGGTTGGGTGGAGTCAACGTGAGCTGCTGGAGCTGGGCTCATTGCACAGGAAGGACTGGCTGCTAGTTCTTTGGCTAAGCCTGAACAGGCTGGGTGTGGTCACACCTGCTTGCTGGACATGTTAGCCCAGAAATACATCAAAATTGGTGACAACCAAACAGCCCCCCAGACTCAGAGTCAAGTGGCATTTATGGGGTACCTACTATGTGCTAGACACTGTATGAGGCCCTTTCACAGGTGTTAGCTCTCTGGTAAAGCTCCCAAGTTTGCAGATCCCTTCTCCATCACCCTGTCTACAAGTGCAGATCAATCGTTAGTTCATGCTTGGTGCATCAGGACTCAGTGGCGAGCAGGACAGACATGGTATTTTCAGGGGCAACACAGCGGGGGAAAACAAAGAGATATACATGTGCCAGATAAGGAGCTATTGGTTGTTTTTAGGGCCAACTGTGAGGGTTCCCAGTGCTTTGTATCAAGAATGACTTTCTTTTTAAGGGTCTCTTGTAGAGAGAAAGAAATAAAGACAAACCACAGTTGGCTTGCGAGACTCACATTGGCTTTGCCCACAGTTACTGGTTTTTTTTTGTTTTTTTTTTTTTGTGAGACGGAGTCTCACTCTGTCACCCAGGCTGGAGTGCAGTGGCACCATCTCGGCTCACTGCAAGCTCCGCCTCCTGGGTTCACGCCGTTCTCCTGCCTCAGCCTCCCGAGTAGCTGGGACTACAGGCACCTGCCACTACGCCCGGCTAATTTTTTGTATTTTTAGTAGAGACAGAGTTTCATCGTGGTAGCCAGGATGGTCTCGATTTCCTGACCTCGTGATCCACCCGCCTCGGCCTCCCAAAGTGCTGGGATTACAGGCGTGAGCCACTGCACCCAGCCTGCTCACAGTTACTGTTAAACACCACAGTAGAACCTGCCAGTAGCTGAGCACACGCAGGGCGCCAGCCACTAGACAGCATGGTTATCCAGCCACTAGACAGCATGGTTATCCATCTCACTTCCTCCTCTTTCCAGCTGCCCCGCCTCTCCATGGGGTTTTTCACAAGACGATCAGAGACCCAGAGACCCAAAGGAAAGGGAGACAATGGGGATTGGAGGCCACGGGCTTTAGGGGAAGGTAGGGGGCAAAAAATAGAGCATATGCAAAGCCCTGTCCTTGTTACTTCCCTCCCCAATCTCCACCACCACCCAACTGGCATATGAACTTGTTCTTCTTGTATACAGCTCTGAGCAAAGCACCATATGGCAGTTTCATCAGGCCCACGGCCTGGTTTCCATCCAGCCCACTCTAATTTCCTTCCAGTCATGGATCTGCAGAATAACCCATCCTGTGGAAGGAGCTCAGAGGAAGAAAAAGATAACAATAACAGTAAAGATATACAGAGCACAAACCACAGCGGGGAGCTGTTCCAATTATGTGTATGTTTGACGCTTGCAACAGCTCTAGGAATATCGCTGTTAGCATCCCCATTTTATAGATGACAAAACTGGGAGACAGATGTTCCGAGACATTCTCAAGGTCACATGGCTAGTGATGACAGAGCTGGGATGGGAGCCATGTTAACCGTCAGACTTTGCTGATTCGCTGAATCTTGGCTAAAAGATGTTGGCAGGAAGGGCTGAGAGCTTAGAAGAAGGGGTCCTCCCGGTCTGGCTGGGACAGGGTGATGCCAGCAAAAAGGCCCCTAAATCCACAAGCAGGGGAGGGGCGGGGTCAAGGCCCGGCTGACCTGACTCCAGCAAGCAGGGTCTGAGCTCCATAAGTGGAGGTGTCAGGGAAGCATGCAGAGGACTGGGAAGCAAGGAAGACCCCTGGAAGCAGCCCCCGCAGAGGAGGGTCAGGGAGGGCTGGGGGGCCCCCAGGAGCCCCAGGAGCTTGTCCCTCTTTGGGCTTCCTTCCGTGGCTAGGTTCTCTGCTCACCAGGAGTAAAGGGTAAGCATCCTCTCTGAGCCTGCAGAGCAGCAAGCCTGCACTGAGGCATTGTAGGAATGAGTGGCCCCTGGGATGGAAGGACCTGGGTATGGGTCTCAGCTCCATATCTTTGGGTTGTGTGGCCAAATCACACCCCATCACTCCCATGTCTGTGAGCCTCATCTATAGGGCAGTTAAGGAATGTGAATGGGCTGAAGTATCAGGAAACCAGCTGGGATCCTATCTCAGAAGAGGTGTATAGTACATGATCGTGCCCCTAGCCCCCATTCTTCCTTCTAGAACAAGGAAGGAGAAAACAAAGGCTCCCCGGGCAGTGAAGGCTGGGCCCTTGGTAGGCTTGGCAACCATGCAATCTCTAGAATGGAAGGGCTCCTCCCTCAGAGCACAGCCCTGGAGAGTCACAGCTGTTGCCCTGGGTCTGGCAGGACGAGGGAGGCAGTGCCAGGCTAGATAGAGAGTTTGAGGGACTCTAGGTTGGCAGTGGGGACTGTCATGCCCTGGCTCCTTTAGGATTCACAGGCCAGAGTGGTGGCTGTAGCCTAGTCCTCACTGCCAGAGACCCCACACCACAGTGGAGCCTGCACCAGGCACAGAGGCAGGAGGCAGAGCCATGCTTGCCCCTTTCTGCCATCCCTAGGATGCTAGAGGTAGCATCCTCCCAGCATGCTGGCAGGTGCGAGAAGGAGCTTTACTTGATGTAGCGACACCCCTGCTTCCCCCTGAGCCTTTGGGTTCCTTCCCACTTATGTCCCCTGCTGCGGGTCCACATGAGGGGCTTCTCACCCCGAGGCTGCCTCTACAGTGTCCACTGGACAACCTGGCCACCGCAGCCCCAGACTCAGATCACAAGGCCAGGATGGGCCTAGGATGCTTTGACCCTTCCAGCACAGCAGGAGCCTTTTGATGTGGGTCCAGGCAATGTCCAGCTCTCCTGCCCAGGGCTCGTTCTTGGAGAGTAAATGGGAAGGAACTTTGGAGGGAGCTGCTCTCCGTAGGAGATGATAAAAAATGGGAATTTGGGAATTTGGGGAAGGATTTGACGGATAAGGGAGTTAGGTAACAGGCAAAGAAGAAAGGAGGGAAGTTTCTTTTTCTTTTTTTATTTTTACACAATTTTTTTTTCCCTCCCTGGGGAAAAAATGTGAGCACAGAGGTAAAGAGAGAAGAAAAGTGAGCCAGGCGCGGTGGCTCACACTTGTAATCCCGGCACTTTGGGAGGCCGAGGCGGGTGGATAACTTGAGGTCAGGCGTTCAAGACCAGCCTGGCCAACATGGTGAAACCCCATCTCTACTAAAAATACAAAAATTACCCGGGTGTATTGGTGCGTGCCTGTAATCCTAGCTACTCGGGAGGCAGAGGCAGGAGAATCGCTTGAACTCGGGAGGCAGAGGTTGGAGTGAGCTATCTTGCCACTGCATTCCAGCCTGGGTGACAGGTGACAAAGCAAGAATCTGTCTCAAAAAAAAAAAAAAAGAAAGAAAGAAAGAAAGAAAAGTGAAAAATTCCTTTTATTCCATTTCCGGCCAATATCACCGTTTTCCCCAATCATCCCAGACTTCTGGGCGTTTACATGCATAATACATGTATGTACCCAGGGGGATGATGTCAAGATCTTTGTTTTGCTTTGATTTTACATGAAGGGGATCATGCTGACCACATTGCTTTGCAACTTTTCCCCCATAACTGTATATTCTGGACATTTTCTCATGTCAACAAAAATAGGACTTCCTCTTTTTTTTTTTTCTTTCTTCTAGAGATGCGGTTTCACTCTGTTGCCCAGGCTAGAGTGCACTAATACAATCATAGCTTACTGCACCCTCAACCTCCTGGGCTCAAGCAATCCTCCTGCCTCAGCCTCATGAGTAGCTGGGACTACAGGTGAGCACCACCACACCTGGCTATCCTCATTTTTTGTTTTTAACCTCTACCTAATATTCCATGCGTGCCTGTAACACAGTTGATTCAACCACGCCCCTCTCACTCCCCCTCACTCAGGGTCCCAGCTCTAGAGGACATGGGTCAAAAGGTTTTCATGGTAAATGGTGCCTCTGCACAATTCCAGGGGATGCCATCCACACCCAGAATGCAGCAGCCCTGCCTGATGAAGAGATAAGGTGGCTCCAGTTTTTACCATACAAACAATTCTGCACCGAGCATGCTCACCCATGTCTCTTTGTGCACATGTGTGAGTGGTTCTCCAGGCATTGATGATTCAGGGTGGAGCTGGAGGGCAGAAGTGCATGCTTCCGACATTTCAGGGACCTTGCCATGGTGTGGGAGGGCAGCCTGGGGTTCCTAAGCCCCTTCAGCCTCTGCTGAACCAGGTTGCCTAGCATACATCCATCATGTGGCTGCCGGCTGGGCCGCTGCTTCCAGGAAATCAATTGCAAAAACCTGCGATTGTCAGTGGCTCACACACTGGAGGCCATCCAGGGAGTAGATTAAATTGTATGAAAAAATAGTACAGGGCTCAAGACCGCTCGTAATGGAGACCCCTCGGTGACCTTTCTGCAGAAGTTAAAAGAACACAGGCAGACATACTCTCACCCTTGCTCACCAACGTGCTAGCCCGCCTGCCAGGAGCATAGCCCCTCTGCCCTTGGAGGAGCCGCGCCTCATTAGCAGGAAGTGGGAGGCCTGGTCCAGGGCCCAGTCTGCCTGTGCATGGCAAGAAGGCCAGCAGGGGCACCTGCTTCCCTGCAGGGTGGACCCAAGTTGACCATCAGGCCTTAGATGCTTAAGGTCACTGAGCCCCCCTTCTCCATGCCAGCCCTCTTCTGCTTCCCATGCAGGCACCACTGTGGACCCCTGCTCTGCACCCCCAGGAGGAGTGGGACTGCTTCAAGGGCAGCCTGGAGGAAAGAGGTGTGGTGTGAACACATACAACATGTTCCTTAACCAGGAAGGCGACTGGAGTCTTTACCTGGTTTCAAAGCAGCCAAGCCTAGAGGCCCCCACCCCTTGTTCTTTATTATGATTGCCCTTTGACCCCAACCCCCCAATTCTTTCCTCTCCAGATCCCCAGCCATGCATACTCCAACTTGGTTCTGCAAAGAATACCCAGCCACAGCTGTGAACTTGGGGAAACACATTTTTTCTTTTTCTTTTCTTTTCTTTTTTTTTTTTTTTTGAGAGGGAGTCTCACTCTGTTGCCCAGGCTGAGGTACAGTGGCGTGATCTTGACTCACTGCAACCTCCACCTCCCAGGTTCAAGCAATTCTTCTGCCTAAGCCTCCTGAGTAGCTAGGACTACAGGCATGTGCCACCACCCCCAGCTAATTTTTGTATTTTTAGTAGAGATGGGGTTTCACCATGCTGGCCAGGCTGGGCTTGAACTCCTGGCCTCAAGCAGTCCTCTCACCTTGCCTCCCAAGGTGCTAGGATTATAGGCTTGAGCCACCATGCATGTGCACGGCCAGCACATTCATTTTCTATACATAACTGTCTCCCAGCTCTTCAGGCCAACTTACCTGATAATGATAAAAATAACTAAGCTGCCATGGATTGGGCAGTGTGCCAAGTGCTCCATGTATATTACCTTACTTAGTTTTCACAAACTCTATGAGGTAGGTACCACTATTATTTACAGGTGAGGAAATGGAGGCTCAGAGAGGTTAAGTGAATTGATCCAGGCCACACAGCTGGTAAGCGCCAGAGCCACTAGTGGACGCCAGGTCCAGCCAGCCCCCAGAGCCCATGTGCTGAGCCACTGTGCTATACTGACTCCCACTTAATTCTCTCTTCTGGGTTGTCCCAAAGACCAAGTTCGGCTGGCCAATTTTCCAGGACCATCTCTCATGGCACCTGGAGGCTTGTAGGTTCCTGGAGGACTCTCACACCTCCTTCCCACCCTTCTCCAGATTCTCCAACTCCCTCTTGAGCAGACCCGGCCCCACTCTGGGGCACCCTGCCTTCCTGGGACCTGTCGTAACAGTCACCCACTCTGCCAGGGCCTGGCTGACCCAGGCTGGGGACCGTGGGACCCCTCTGGGCAGTGCCCCCCTACCTGGGCCCAGGTGGGTATGGATTTCTTTCTTCTGGGCCATTGCACCCGCCAGAAGGTGCGGTGGGAGAGGCAGGCCCACATTTCAGAGGGCCTTGCTGCCCCCATGTGGCATGAGGCTGTAGCGGCTGCAGCCTCCTCTTCCCTCCCTCCTGCCACTGCTCCCGAAGCCAAGGCTTTTGCAGGGTTGAAAAGGAAGAGAAAGAGGAGAAGCAGGAATGTGAGAGAAATGAGGCAGAGGGATGGGCTAGGGAAGAGAGAAGCCCTTCTGCGTTACCTGGAAATGCAGCAACAATAATAACAAAGCCAATGTTAGGAATGTTTAAAGGCAGCTGCCACATAGCACTTTTTATAGCTTGTAGACTCTCTCATTTAATCCTGGCACTTACATCAATCTGATTAGTAGCTATTATTAGTTTTATAGGTGATGATCCAAGGCGCAATTATTTGTTCCCCAGCTAGTAGGTGACAGAGCCCAGATTGAATCTGACTCCAGAACCCTAACCACGATATTCCCCTGTCTAGAAGGAGCCAGTTCTCTCCTGCAACCCCCACTGCTCAGCCTCTAGGAGTTCCAGCCACCAGCCACCTGCACCCTCCCTTCCATGTGGCTTTGCCCTCTGTTCTTCTCCTCTCCACTCTCTCTCCAAGGTCCAAGTGGTCAAGGTCATCCCAAGGGTCTGCTGGGACCGTGTGTCCTTATTCTGTGCCTTGCTGGTCGCCAACCTTCCCCATCTGCCAAGGACTGATGTCCAGCCCAGGCCCAGGTGCAGGTGCCCAGGTCATTTTTGCCACTGAGTAAAGGGAGACAGAATGACAGGGTAAATTACCAACCACCAGAACACCATGGAGCCAATAGCATCAATGCAAGTGAAGTATATTTATCTGTTGGCCTGAAAACATGTCCTAGTATATTGTCCCATTAAGCAAAAAGCAGGTTATAAAGCTGTGTACATTAAGAAACATTTTATAAGTGAAACAAAAGTATTCTCCGTTTCTATGCAGAGAAAAAGGATATTTGCCAAGATGTTAACAGATTATTTTTGCTGTCTTCTCTTGGCTTATTTTTGTTTTCTCTTTTTCAATGAACACCAATTAGTCACATGATTTTAAAAAGCAATAAAAATAAACCAATCCCAGACGGATTGTACTTCTTCCTGTCCTCATTTCTACCCCGAGTCTCCAAAAAAAAAAAAAAAAAAAAAGAAGAAAGAAAAAAAAATCACAGTGCCACATGCCCAGACCTTCCCTTCTCCCTCCTATCATTTCAATAACTCAGCTGGGTAGGGAGCGTCTCTACCTACCCCAGGAAGCCTTCTGAACTTGACTGACAGGAGAAGCCCATGCCCCAGGGGCATTTTCTCACTGACCATGCCAGGGCCCTGGAGGACAAGCCAGAGCTGTCCATGGCATTGCTCCTGCAGGTGATGCTGCCTTCTGAGGGCAAAGCGCTCTGGGACGGGTCGGCCCCGCTCACGTGGGTGTGCAGCCCCAGGGCAGTGGAACAGTGCAGAATCCTCGCTCCACTGCTGAGGTTACTATGGGCAACATCTTGGCAAAATGAAGAGTGAGGGGGAAGAAATCACAGAAGCTCCTGATCATCCATGAAAGAAAAAGCAGTGCCTCAGGACTGGGCTATGCCAGTGCCTTCCAGAAGGCTTTGAAGAAACTGGGAAGGAGATGGGGACTGGCACTTCCTGGGCATCTACTATGTACGTGCCCTCACAGACGTGATCTCACCCCTCATTACACACCTCCCATGGTACGGATGATGCCACTGAGGCACAGGAGGCACACATCCACACCAGACCATAGGTGCCTTGGCTTCTAGTGTCTCTGCTGCTTAACGTGGTGTCCTGGAAACGTCTCTGGATAGAAACACTGGTATCTTCTGGAAGCGTCTTCTCCTCCCCGTGCGGTACATTGCTCAGACTCCATAGAAGGCCAGCTCTCCTAGAGCCACAGAAACTCCTCCATTCTGGAGCAGGAGCTAGGCACATTCCCAGAAGGGGGCTGCCCCTCCTGAGCCCTTGCTAGTTTAATGATATAAGTTGTTGCTAACTTCATCCTATCTGCCTTTAAAATAGCAGCCATCAGAAAGGCAGCCCAGAGAGCTGGCCTGCAACCCAGCAGAGCCTAAAGGGGGCCTGTAATGTCACGCCGACCCCATCTTCAAATCACACTCCCTGTGGTGGCCATCCCTAGAGACCTACAAACAAAAGCTCCTGTTCTTGGCAAGCCTCTTACAAGCAGGACAGATGCAGGAATTGGGAGTCAGAAGACCACGGTGTTCTTCCAGCTCTGAGCCCAACCATCTGGGTCACCTTAGCTGAGCTGCTCCTTCATGTCCCCAACCCTTCTGTTCATACAGCATGATGGTGTAGAAAGGGGTCCAAAGGGTGTTGCTGAAGAATGCTCAGCCCCCTGGCGCTGTGTCTGTACTAAATAAAAGTCTGGTAACAGATTCCAAGTCCCTGAGTATCCTGGTTTGGCTGTACTCAGTCGAAGCGTGATTGATAGTGACATCCTGTGGACACAATAGGTAACTGCATCAGCTTGGACAGAAGCCAGAGGATGACATCCAGCTTCCCTCATTACATGGAGAGGAGCTGATTGCAATTAATCACACTCATCATCTTACACAGGGAGCTGTCTTAGAGCTGGGAAAAAAAATTAGAAAAACAACCTTCAAGGCCAGGCGCGGTGGCTCACGCCTGTAATCCCAGCACTTTGGGAGGCCGAAACGGGTGGATCACGAGGTCAGGAGTTCGAGACCAGCCTGGCCAACATAGTGAAACCCTGTCTCTATAAAAATACAAAAAATTAGCAGGCATGGTAGCGGGCACCTGTAATCCCAGCTACTAGGGAGGTTGAGGAAGGAGAATCGCTTGAACCCGGGAGGCGGAGGTTGCAGTGAGCTGAGATCATGCTACTGCACTCCAGCCTGGGCAACAGTGCAAGACTCTGTCTCAAAAAAAAAAAAAAAAAAAAAACCGTCAAGCCACAGATTTCTCTGCCATCATCCTCCAAGTTACATCTATTTCGTTTAAATTTGTCTGTCTTCAAATACTGGCCTGATACAAGAGTCTAGTGACCATGGAGGGAAAGTAATGTCAATAGCAATGTTAAAAGCAGAAAGATGTAATGGGCAGTTTACTCTTGCCATGAATTTCACATGCATTATCTCATTTAATCTTCCCCCAAACCCAAGGAGGTACATGTTCTTATCCCCAATTTTCAGATGAAGAACCTGAGATGCGGTGCACAAGGAAAAGCTATGTTTCAAACCTGGACAATCTGTCACCCGCCTGTCTTAGTCCATTTCGTGTTGCCATAACAGGATACCTGAGACGGGGTAATTTATAAAGAAGAGAGGTTTATTCAGCTTACAGATCTGTTGGCTGGGAGAATCAAGAAGCATGGCCTCAGCATCTGCTCAGCCTCTGGTGAGGGCTGCGACATACAGAAGGTCAAAGGGAGAGTGAACACTTGCAAAGAAGGGAAAACCCAAGGGGCATCCTGGCTTTATAACAACCCACTGTCTTGGGAACAAATCCATTCCTACAAGAATCCAGTCTTGCCAGGGTGAAAACTCACTCTCCACTGTGAGGATGGCACTAAGCCCTTCATGAGAGATCTGCCCCCATGACCCAGACACCTCCCACTAGGCCCCACCTCCCACCACCACCACACCGAGGGTCAAATTTCAACATGAGTTTAGGTTGACGCAACCATATCCAAACCACAGTAGACTCCATTCCCTTTAATCACCACTTTATGCACCTTCACTGCCTCTTGTGTCTACCTGGCCCACCCCATGCCATGGTAATCCCTCCTTCCTAGAACACTGGAGAAAATTCCACTTCCTGGGATACTGGCTTGAATTCTCCAGACTGAGTACCTCTGAGTCACCTTCTGTGGCAGCAAGGAGGAGGTGGATAGGAGGAGCTTTAGGGTTAGACAGGCCTGGGTTGGAATCCCAGCTCTGTGCCTCGCTGTCACTAGCTGTGTGTCCTGGGGCTTGTTCTTGAACTTCACTTTCCTAGATTGCCAAGTGTGGCCCATGATCCCTTGCCTTGAGAGGGTGTTGTGAAGATTAGAGAAATCACTTGCTGCTGAGTAGATGCTCAAGAAGTGAAGGCTGTTCTCGTTGGCAAGATGTGCAATTTGACCTTGGGAGGAGCCAGCCTGGAGATTTCAGCAGGTGTCAAATTCTTATCTAACCTGTTTAGAAAACACCACTACTAAGAAGGGCTAGAGGCGGGCGGATCACCTGAAGTCGAGAGTTCAAGACCAGCCTTTCCAACATGGAGAAACCCTGTCTCTACTTAAAATACAAAATTAGCAGGGCATGGTTTTGCATGCCTGTAATCCCAGCTACTCAGGAGGCTGAGGCAGGAGAATCGCTAGAACCCAGGAGGCAGAGGTTGTGGTGAGCCGAGATCGCGCCATTGCACTCCAGCCTGGGCAACAAGAGCAAAACTCCATCTCAAAAAAAGAAGGGCTGGGATTCAGATGGAGGAGAAGGCCAGCCTTCTTGCCCTGAGGCTTATGATGTTTCAGAGGGGGCTTGCTGATCTATCAGGGTTCAAAGGATCTCCAAAGGGAGTTATTTAGCTAAGATGGCAGAGCAGAAACAAGATTCCAAGACTTTGTACCCTGCCTTTCCATAGAGAAATTATTATTCAAAGAGTAGTATCCCAGCAGGATTCAAGTTCATGCCTCCAGGTATCTTTAGAGACCCTGGTACCATGAGCCAGCCTCTGTGTAGTTCAGGAAGCGCAAATTCAAGACTAGAAGTGGGGTGTCTGGATTCTAGTTCCAGCTCTACCTCCCACTGTTCTTGCAGACTCTTGAACTTGGTCCTCTTCTTGTCTCTTCAAGGTCATACCACTGAATGCTTCTCCTCTTCAGTGCCTCAGTGATGTCTCTCTTTTCCCTTCCCTGCAAAGCAGTGCTGTCCTTCTTGCCCATAGTGCTCTACTAGCAGAGACCATAATGACCACTGGTTAAGTGATTAAGAACAGGGCTGTTCATTTCTTTTTTTTCTTTTTTTGAGATGGAATTTCACTCTTGTTGCCCAGGCTGGAGTGCAATGGTGTAATCTTGGCTTACCACAACCTCCGCCTCTCAGGTTCAAGTGATTCTCCTGCCTCAGCCTCCCAAGTAGCTGGGATTACAGGCATGCACCACCACACCCAGCTAATTTTGTATTTTTTTTTTTTTTAGTAGAGACGGGGTTTCTCCATGTTGGTCAGACTGGTCTCAAATTCTTGACCTCAGGTGATCCACCTGCCTCGGCCTCCCAAAAGACTGTTCATTTCTATAGCCCCAGTCTCTAATATGGCATCTGACACATGGAAAGTGCTCACTGGTGAAAGAGTAAGTGGGACAACTCACTATAAATGGCTGTGGGGCCCATTGCTGGAAATATCCCCAGAGAGAATAGCACTGGGGCCCCTAACCATTCCAAGTAATGTTTAAGAATTATAATATGGAACTCTTTCTGTTCCAAGTTACACTGAGGCCCCAATATGACAGATATCAGTATTAGTTATCTATTGCTACATAACAGATTACCTCAAAATTTAGTAGCTTAAAACAATAATAAACATTTATTATCTCAGTTTCTCTTGATGAGGAATTGGGGAGTGGCTTAGCTGGTGTTCTGGCTTAGGGTTTGTCATGAGGTTACAGTCAAAATGTCAAGTAGGGATGCAGTCATTTGAAGGCTTGACTGGGGCCGTATGATCTGCATCTAAGATGGCACGCTCACATGGCCAGCAAGATGGTGCTGGCTACTGGCAGGAGGCCTCAGTTCCTTGCCATGTGGACCTCTCCATGGACCTCCCTGAGTAGCTTCATGACATGGCAGCTGACTTCTCCCAGAATGAGTGGTTCAAGAGAGCAGGGAGGAGGTCACAATGTCTCTTATGACTATATTAGATCCACAGGGCTGCTGTAACAAAGTACCACAAGCAAGATAACTTAACAGAAATTTACTCTTTCACAGTTCTGGGGGCCAGAAGTCTGAAACCACATTGTCAGCAGGGTCAGAACGGTGGCACATGGAAGGTGCTCATTGGTGAAACAATGAGTGGGAAAGAATAAATCATTCCTTGCCTCTTCCAACTTCTGACGGCCGCAGATGTTTCTTGGCTTGTGGCTGTATCATTCCAATCTCTGTCTCCATCTTCACACGGCCTTCTCCCTTGTGTCTGTCTACTCTTTGTCTCTCTCTCCTTATGAGAACACCAGTCATTGGATGTAGGGCCCACTCTAGTCAAGAACAACCCTTGATTACAACTGCGAAGACTATTTCCAGAAAAGGTCACATTTATAGGCCCTGGGGGTTAGGGCTGCAACATATCTTCTGGGGGACATCATTAAACACACAACAATGACCTAGCCTCAGAAGATGCATGCCATCAGCTCTGCAATAGCAAGTGGCTACAAGGGTCGGCCCTGTTCACGGAGGGAGGAGACACAATGATGTGAATACCAGGAGATGGGGACAATGAGGGGCCATTGTGGAAGCAGGCTACCACAATATCATCAGATAGCAAACTGAACATGAGACAGACTCCCATATGTAGTATTTACAAAGGAAATAATGGGGAACCAGTTGCATAGCACTCAGGGCCCTCAGCCTACCAACAATATAGAGTGTGGAGAATGGGGAGAGTTTGGAAATAGAAACTTCCAGAAAGGGCAAAGCCATGCTGTAAGCTACCCCACCAAGGAGTTAGGGGCCCTACTGCTTTCAACTCAAGCCTAGTGATGGGGGCTTCCATGCAGCCACTTGGAGCTGTGGGCCCCCATGGGACTGTGCCAGGAGGGACTGCATTAGGATGAGTGAAGGGGCTGTGTGAGTTCTTCCCATGGGCCACATGTGGATCAGATGGACCATGGCAGGAGAGAGGGCCAAGGTGGGGGTCATTTTAAGTCCTGTAGGGCCTCTGAGAAGGGCAAAGGGATGTCAGCAGAAAGAAGTTGGAAGAGGATGCTGGATTTCTAGGGGTTGAAGATGGAGTCATAGCTGTACCTGAAATGGAGGTGCAGAACAGGGAACTTCAGGAGAAAACCTTAGAGATGGGAACTTTTTTTTTTTTTTTTTTTAAGACAGGGTCTCACTCTGTTGCCCAAGCTGGAGTCCAGTGGCCCAAACTCGGCTCACAGCAACCTCTACCTCCTGGGTTCAAGCAATCCTCCTGCCTCAGCCTCCCAAGTAGCTGGGACTACAGGCGTGCAGCACCACCCCCAGATACTTTTTGTATTTTTGGTAGAGATGAGGTTTAGCCATGTTGCTCGGGCTGGTCTAGTACTCCTGGGCTCCAGTGATCTGCCCGCCTCCGCCTTCCAAAGTGCTGGGATTATAGGCGTGAGCCACCAAGCCTGGCTGAGATGGGAACTTCTGAAGAACACAGGGAACCCTCCAGAAAGAGCTTTCACCATCTGCCACACCCAGAGAGCTGGCAATCATACAGTCAAGTAAAAACTGCCCTATTCCCCTGCTCCCCATCCGCTTCCCTGCATCCTCACCCACCACCTCCACTTAGACTCTGAAAGCAACCAGCAAGTGGGGAGAGGGGTATTCGGGAGAGAATAGACAAAAGCCACCATGCCCAGTCCCTGGCAGCTGGCAGCCCCCAACTAAGGCCTTAACTAGGGCAGGAGGAAGAAGATTTCTCTTTGAAGAAAAATGCAAGAGTCATTTAATATCTTTGGGTGGCTGCTTTAAATCTCTAAGTCGATACTGGATTTCGTGACATAAAATGTACATACCTAAGCATGACCAGAAGAGCCTCGGGGTCAGCTGAGCTTTCAGCCAGGGGAAGGGGAAATGCTTCCCTTGCTTTAGCTCAAATGCACAGTGAGAGCCAAAGCAAATTGAGTTACATGTTGGTTCCACCCCACATTCAAGGGATTGGTTTCACCGAATCCCCGCCTCCACAGGGAATTGGGTCTTATATTTCTTACCCCCAACCCTCCCCGCCATGGCAGAGCCACAAGGAGGTTCCTGAAGAAAATCCCTTCTCGGCTTTTGTGCAGAATTGAAGAATGTTTACTATGTTTTCCTTCCTGTCTCTCTGGAAATGACGCAAAGAATAACAACAACAAAAAAGAACTCCTTGTCCCGTGCAAAACACCCGCCCCTCCCCCGCCCCTGACCTCCTAACTCTTCACCCTGTGTTGGCCTGACTTCACCCTGGGATGGGGAAACTTCCTGGGAGGATATAGCTGACCTGGGAACAAAACTTGTTTTTTTGAAAGCTTTGTGCAACGTCAACTAAGTTGGGGGAGGGGTCTGGGCAAGGAAAGAAGAAAGCAAAGGGGGGCAGGGTGGGAACAGTTCTGCTAAACCAAACAATTCCCCAGGGATGATGGAGCTGTGGTGACCTGATAAGTCCTTTAAATGTCTTATTAATTACTGGGGGAAAAATTGGCTACTTCTGAGTCTCCCCTCTCTCACTGTCCTTGCACAAGCTTGGGACTAGCTCTGTCCTTTTTTAAGAGTCAGTCTTGGGCCGGGCATAGTGGCTCACTCCTGTAATCCCAGCACTTTGGGAGGCTAAGGCAGGAGGATCCCTTGAGGCCAGGAGCTTGAGACCAGCCTGGGCAACATAGCGAGACCTCATCCCTACAAATAATTTTTAAAAATTAGCTTGGAGTGTTGGTGTGTGTCTGTGGTCCCTGCTACTCAGGAGACTGAGGCAGGAGGATTACTTAAGCCCAGGCAGTGGAGGCAGCAGTGAGCTGTGATTGCACTATTGCACTCCAGCCTGGGTGATAGAGCAAGAACCTATCTCAAAAAAAAAAAAAAAAAAAAAAGAGTCCAGCTTTTTAAAGAAGGGTGCCCCTTGGTGGAAGACAACAGGACAAGGCAGGAGCTGGGGCTGCGGAGAGTCCGGGGTCTGCAGAGCATGGGGCTGCCATCAGAGACCCACCAGGCAGGTTCCTGCTCCTAGCAAGGACCCGGCTGAGCAGAGATGAGGGTGTGGAGGTGAACCTGGAAAACATGCAGAGGATTCTAGACACATTCCACAGTCAGAGCCTCTGGAAAGCCCACCTTCTCCATCACAGAGGCTTTGGGGAATAGACATCCTGTTTCTCTGTATTATTACAGCACAAAGCATTTATCATGCTGACAATGACAGTGACATTTCAGGACCTAAACAAGCTTAGTTGTTCACAGCTTACAGGAGAGAAGGCTCCTAACACTCTTTATTTATTTATTTATTTGTTTGTTTATTTATTTTGTTTTTGTTTTTTTTTGTTTTGAGACAGAGTTTCGCTCTGTCGCCCAGGCAGACAGAGTGCAGTGGCAAGATCTCGGCTCACTGCAAGTTCCGCTTCCAGGGTTCACGCCATTCTCCTGCCCAGCCTCCCGAGTAGCTGGGACTACAGGTGCCTGCCACGGCGCCTGGCTAATTTTTTGTATTTTTAGTAGAGGCGGGGTTTCACCGTGTTAGCCAGGATAGTCTCCATCTCCTGACATCTTGATCCACCCACCTCGGCCTCCCAGAGTGCTGGGATTACAGGCGTGAGCCACCGCGCCCGGCCTATTTATTTGTTTTTTGAGACAGAGCCTTGCTCTGTCATCCAGGCTGGAGTGCAATGGTGTGATCTCGGCTTATTGCAACTTCCACCTCCCAGGTTCAAGCAATTCTCCTGCCTCAGCCTCCCGAGTAGTCGGGACTACAGGTGTGCACTACCACAGCAGGCTATTTTTTTTTTTTTTTTTTAGTAGAGACAGAGTTTCTCCACGTTGGCCAGGCTGGTCTCGAACTCCTGACCTCAGACAATCTGCCTGCCACATGATTAGGTCCTGAGGGCTCTCCCCTCATGAATGGGATTAAGACTTTTATAAAAGAGGCCTGAAGGAGCTTGTTGACCCCTTCTGCCATGCAAGGACACAGAGGAGGCACCATGTATGAGGAATGAGCCCTCACAAGACACTGAATCTGCTGGCGCCTTGACCTTGGACTTTCCAGTCTCCAGAACTGTGAATGATAAATTTCCATTGTTTATAAATTACCCAGTCTAAGGTATTTTGTTATAGCAGCCAAAACCATCTACAGAGCACTAATGACAGTTTGGGCTGGATTATTCTTCGTTGTCGGGGCTGCCCTGTACATTGTAGGATGTTTTGGAATATCCCTGGCCTCTATCCACAAGATGCCAGTAGCGCCTCCCCCAACTCCATGACAAAACTGTCCCTTGGGGGCAAAATTACCCCTGGTTGAGAATCACGGCCAAGTAGCAGTCCCCATTCAGTGACCAGACAGCTAAGGAGATCCAGAGTGTAGTGCTGGGCCACACAGATGCTAAGGGAATTTATACTTCAGGAAAAAAAAAAAAAAGGCCAAGTCTATGTGGCCTTCGCATCAGTTATTACTCTCTCGGTTGCACTAAGTGACAGAAAATTCACCTCTAAATGACTTTAAATTGGGATGCTGTTTCATATAACTAAGCAGACCAGGGATTAGGCATTGTGCTGGTTCAGGCCAAGCTTGATCCAGGGATTCAAACAATATCACCAAGATTTGGCTTTATCTTTATCCCCGATGCTGCTCTTCTCCATAGCGTTTTCTTGTTGGGATAAGATGGCTGCCAGCAATCCAGTCCCACCTCTTCCTATGCCTGAGACTTGTGAGGAAAAAACATGAAGTGCTTTTCTTTTTGCAGTCCCAGCAAAAGTCTCATTCCACTGAACTGGCTCTGACTTGAACATGAATCCATCATCAAGCAAGACACCATGGCTGGGGAATGTGATGGCCTAAGTGGCCAGGTTGTAGTCACATAACCACTTCTGGATCTGGGAGTGGAGTCAACTCTGTCTGTGGGACATCAAGAATGGGGAAGTGGGGTTCCCAAGAGGAAAGTAGCATACTACCACTGGGAGACAGGTGAAAGGATTCTTGATGACAAAAAGCAATACATAGCTACCACAGTCTTTTTTTTCTTTTCTTTTCTTTTCTTTTTTTTTTTTTTTTTTGAGGCAGGGTCTCACTCTGTCGCTCAGGCTGGAGTGTAGTGTGAGATCTCAGCTCACTGCAGCCTCAACCTCCTAGGCTCAAAGAATCCTCCCTCTTCAGCCTCCAGAGTAGCTAGAATTATAAGTGTGCACCACCACACCCAGCTACTATTTGTATTTTTAGTAGAGATGGAGTCTCACCATGTTGCCCAGGCTGATCGCGAACTCCTGAGTTCAAGTGATCTGCCCACCTCGGCCTCCTGAAGTGCTAGGATTATAGGTGTGAGCCACCACACCTGACCTACCAAAGTCTTTATACCAAAAAGAAGCTCACTCTTAAATTGATTAAGGTGAGAGCTAAAAGTTTAAAGAAGACTCTGCCGAGTGGTAGTATAATACCTGTGCCATGATTGTCCAAATCAACCTCCAGGTGACAAACAAGAACTCTTTCAGGTATCTCTAAGATAAACTAGCATCTGAGATGGTTCATTCAGATGGATCTCTAAAATGGAGACTGCCAGAGTTTTACCAAGATTTTTCCTCCCATTTTTTCATAGTAACATATATGTAGTTGGGTCCATAGTTGCTCAGCTGGAGATAGCATTTCCCAATTTTCCTTGCAGTTCAAATCGTAGTACATGTGAGTCCCAGCCCTGGAGTGAGTAGTCACTTGGGGGACACCTTGCAGTTAGGTGTGACCACATGACTAAGTTTGCACTATATGGGCAGAAGAGATGATTACACCTAGGCCTTAAGATAGTGGGAATGCGGCAGGCTGAGACATGAGAATTGCTTGAACCCAGGAGGCGGAGGTTGCAGTGAGCTGAGATCATGCCACTGCACTCCAGCCTGGGTGATAGAGTGAGACTCAAAAAAAAAAAAAAAGATAGTGGGCATGTCTCATCCTTACTCTTTCCCCTTCCCTTGAACCAGAACATGATCTTGCCTGAGACCTAGCTTTGCCATGCTAGTAAAAATGATGCCCTAAGAGATGACAGGAAAATGCAAAGAACCTGGATCCCTGAATGACCTTGTGGAGCAGAGTATCCTGACAATCTGCAATGAATACCTCAAGTGAGAAAGAAATAAATTTGCCTTTTCTGAGAGACTAAATGTTGCATTACATCTATTCTAAGATCCATGTTTTTAATGTATTCTAATATCTTTGAAATCCATGGCACTGTTGGCCAGGTAGTGGTCAAGACCACCCTTAAGGTACGTCAGACCCCAGGAAAATGTTTTTTCTGGAACTCCTCCTGTCTATATAAACAAATTAATCCTAGCACTTTGGGGGGCTGAGGCAGAAGGATTGTTTGAGCCCAGGAGTTTGAGGATGCAGTAAGCCATGTTCATACCACTGCACTCCAGCCTGGGCATCAGAGCAAGACCCTGTCTCAAAAAAATAAAAATAATAAAAATAAACAAATTAGGCCCGGTGTGGTGGCTCATACCTCTAATCCCAGTACTTTGGGAGGCCGAGGTGGGTGGATCACTTGAGCCCAGGAGTTTGAGACCAGTTGGGCAACATGGTAAAACCCCATCTCTGCTAAAAATACAAAAAATTAGCCAGCCATACTGGTGTGTGCCTGCAGTCCCAGCTACTTGAGAGGCTGAGGCACGAGAATCCACTCCAGGAGGCAGAGGTTGCGGTGAGTCGAGGTCACACCATGGCACTCCAGCCTGGGCAACAGAGCGAGACTCTGTCTCAAAAAAATAAATAAATGAAAATAAAAAATAAATTAATTAATTTAAAATTAATACATTGCAAAATTCATAGATCCTTGTGAAGTATAGTGATTTATCACTGAAGATTTAGAATAATGGGTAAAGAAGAGCTACTTACGTATTTACTTGTTTATTGTGTAATCAATGCACATGAATATTTTTTTCTAGCTGCCAGGCATCATTTCTTCTATTTTGATCCAGTAACTATCTCTTCATAACTTCATATCTCCCACCATGAGAAAACAAGAGCAATACATCCTTATGTTGGCTAAATACAGGACAAATAATATTATTCTTTTAAGAACACCATGCCAGTGTTCTATCACAGCCTTTACTTGCCTTTGTTGCATGCTATTACTGAATGTTTACTGAAGCTTTCTCTCCATTCTAGAAATTGCAGGTCGTGTGGAAGTGACGTTTCGTGTTCTTTTAATAGAGATCCTGTGTTTCTGGTCCCAGATACTCTCTGTGGCTAAAGCTAATGTTGAAACAGAGATGTTTAAACAAATAGCAGTAGTAACAAAACACTTTGGTTTTAAACTAAGAATATACTTAGACCACAAAAGCAAGTTTCTACAGGTTTTTTTTTGTTTTGTTTTTGTTGTTGTTGTTTTGAGAGGAAGTCTCGCTCTGTCAACCAAGCTGGAGTGCAGTGGTGCGATCTCAGCTCACTGCAACCTCCGCCTCCCAGGTTCAAGCGATTCTCCTGCCTCAGCTTCCTGAGTAGCTGGGATTACAGGCATGTGCCACCATGCCTGGCTAATTTTTGTATTTGTAGTAGAGATGGGGTTTCGCCATGTTGGTCAGGCTGGTCTCGAACTCCTGACCTCGTGATCCACCTGCCTTGGCCTCCCAAAGTGCTGGGATTACAGGCGTGAGCCACCGTGCCTGGTGGGAAAGGGACTTTCTCGGGGGATTCCAGCTTGTAAGTGGCAGGGCCTGGATTCGACTAAGACCTTTAATGCCACATCCTGAGCTCTGTCCACCATACTGTGAAGTCTACTTTTAGGGCAATCCCATTTCTATCTTTGTCTTTTGTGTTATCTGGATTGAAAGAGTTTAATTTCTGTGTGTTTATTTTGGAGTAGGGTGCAGTGGATGTTTCTTAGCACCTACAGAGAAAATTCTTGTATAGCAAGAAGTCCATTTGACAAAGCACTGTTAAATTTTGGACTACAACCATTGCAGATTTCTCCCAGGATTGCGTTCTCACAGATTGCCAATGAGATGAGAGCTTTCATGCATTATGTTTCTTATGCAAATAAGTTGACTTCCTTTTCAAGTTATATGAGAAACCCCCACTATTCCTGGGTTTTATGAATTATGGGATGGAGTGTACAAAACATCACCAACCTTCTCATTTCTGTCCACCCAAGTATTGTTAAGTATTTGCATCAATTGACATAGTTTTGCTATCTTGAATTGAAGAGGGTTTTGAGTTTTATTTGTTTGGTTTTGTGGGAGTTGTTTTGTTTGGGTTCAGAGCTCTCTGGGGAGAAAGATAAGTGTACTGGAAGGTATTGATGAGCTGTTATCTTCCATGATGGTTTGAGAGACTCATTTCCAGCCCCTGTGAGGGAAGCGTGAGGGGCGATAAATGGAAAGAGGAGTAACTGTGTGAGGCTTTGTGCAACTAAAGATATATGCAGCTTTGCTTCACAACACACTTAACGAAGTGCAGCCAGTCTGTGAGAGGTCCCTGCTGCCCTATCCCACCCTCCACTTTGGTGACCTGCTGGCTTAGAGTGGCCCCAGGAGAGAAGGGAGAGAATGCTGTTCCCAGCAGGGCAACAGGAGTGACCACTGCAAGAACAATGTTCTTATGGAGGCCACAGACACTGATGAGGTACCCCCTTTTAAGGAGCTTGTGAATAGCAGACCAGGAATGGGGAGGCTGAAGGGGAAGAACATAGTGGATTTGCCTATGAACCTATGGGAGATAGTTCGGGGGTCTCCCAGAAATAACTAAGGGTGAGTTAGCAGGGCGAGGGGATGGCTAGCAAGTTCTATAGACCTTCAGTAGGAGACCAGAGCTAATGAAATTTAGGTCTGGATGTCAATATGACCTCCTTGGTTAATATGACCCATAGGCTGGTAAAAATCTCTTACAGGATGTTGTGAGACACTGTACTTTATTCCTGTCTTTCATATGTCATTTAACTTCAAAAATTCTGTCTTCAGTGAAGACACCATGAGAAATGCTTACAATGCAGACTCTTTCCAAGTGCAGTTATCTGGGGCAGGCCGCCCGATTCGCTGATTGCCCTGCCCACCTCCACCCTTCTAGGGAAGGCTCTAGTGGGAGGAATCTCTTAGAAACTGTTCATAGTGCAGCAGCTAGAAAAGTCTAGCTGCAGGGTTTTGGGGTGAGAGGAAAATAGTTTCTTTTCTATGCTAGGGTAGTGAGCCAGATATGACTTGCTAAAAAACCTCTGAGTGACTAGGGTATTAGGCCAGATTTTCGCTATTTTAACTGAAGTTGAAACGAGAGGAAATACGGTGTAAACTGCAGCATAAAGGATTTAGATTCAAGCAATAAAGGATTTCCCAACATCAAAGGGCAACAGATCTCTGCTCTGGGTCCATCATTAATTTTTATTTTATTTATTATTATTTTTAGAGATGAGGTCTTGCTATGTTGCCCAGCCTGGTCTCAGACTACAGGCATTCACCACTGCATCCAGCTTTTCCTTCCTTCCCGCCTTCCTTCCTTCCTTCCTTCCTTCCTTCCTTCCTTCCCTTCTTCCTTTTTTTCTTTTTTTTTTGACAAAGTCTTGCTCTCTTGCCCATGCCGGAGTGCAATGGTTTGATCTCACCTCACTGCAACCTTCGCCTCCCGGGTTCAAGCGATTCTCCTGCCTCAGCCTCCCAAGTAGCTGGGATTATAGGCGGCTGCAACCATACCCAGCTAATTTTTGTATTTTTTAGTAGAGATGGGCTTTCACCATGTTGGCCAGGCTGGTCTTGAACTCCTGACCTCAGGTGATTCGCCTGCCTCGGCATCCCAAAGTGTTGAGATTACAGGCGTGTGCCACCATGCCTGGCCAACACCCAGCTTTTTCTAGGCCTTTTTTTTTCTTTTTTTTTTTTGAGACAGAGTCTCACTCTGTCACCCAGGCTGGACTGCAGTGGCGCAATCTCGGCTCACTGCAACCTCCCGCTCCTGGGTTCAAGCGATTCTCCTGCCTCAGCCTCCCGAGTAGCTGGGACTGCAGCTGTGCGCCACTGCACCCAGCTACTTTTTTTTTTTTTGAGATGGAATCTCACGCTGTTGCCCGGGCTGGAGTGCAGTGGTGCGATCTCAGCTCACTGCAACCTCCGCCTTCCAGGTTCAAGCAATTCTCCTGCCTCAGCCTCCCAAGTAACTGGGATTACAGGCGCCTGCTACCACGCCCAGCTAATTATTTATTTTTATTTTTATTTTTTTAGTAGAGACAGGGTTTCACTATGTTGGCCAGGCTGGTCTTGAACACCTGACCTTGTGATCCACCTGCCTCAGCCTCCCAAAGTGCTGGGATCACAGGCGTGAGCCACCACGCCCGGCCTTTTTTTTTTTTTTTGTATTTTTATTAGTGACGGGGTTTCATCATGTTGGCCAGGCTGTTCTCGAATTCCTGACCTCAGGTGATCCGCCCGCCTCAGCCTCCCAAAGTGCTGGGATTACAGGCGTGAGCCACTGCACCCAGCCCTAGGCCCATTTTTAAAGGTAAATAGAGAGCCCTCTCTTGTTAGCCAACCTTCCAGATCTAAATGGCTAAGTGTCTCTTCCTGATCTCCCATCCTTTACCTAAACTAACTGATCTCCTATTTGTGTTCCCAAATCTTTCTTATAGCACTTATAAAACCATTCTGGGAACTCCTTAAGAGAAGAGACTGGGCCTTATATATGCTTTACTGTGCTCCTAACCCTTGGGAGGGACACAGTACACAGTAAATGTTGGTTAGCTTGATCGTAAGTGAAAAACTGACTTGAGACAGGAGACTGTGGCAGTACTCATTAGAGCAATCTGTGTAGCACTTTTTTGAGCTTCATGTGTGGAATGGGGCTGTGAAGAGCTAGGGAGAAGTGGTTATGAGGATGAAATGAGGAAGCTTAAGGAAAACGTCTGTACAATGTTTGGTCTCACACAGTCCCCTTCTACCCTTTGTCCTCTTCCTTCTAGCTGACATTGTATTGGGAAGCAAAGGTCAGGGGCTCTGTGTGAAGGCAAGAGGTCCAAATGATTTCTCAAGGGATCTAAGGGAACTGGACGGCGGAGAAAACGATCAAGGGGCAGGCCCTGCACAGGGACTGGGAAGGCAAGCAGAGAAACTAAAGAGCGCTAGCCAAAATGGTGGAAGAGAATTCTGGGGCTGTGGCACAACTATCCACAAAAGCTTCCTCTTTCCTTAGTGGAGTCTCAGTACAGTTCACTCAGGAGGAGAATCTAACGAATAGGCACCAGCTGCATCAAGGGACACTTACTTCACTCCATGTCCTGGCACCTTCCTGAGGATGAAGATGCCACAATTCACCAGATGAGTCAATTCACGGGAAAGGCGCTAGTCAAGTCCCAGGCTCTGTCTAGCAACTGTCTTTCCAGTGGAAAAGAAGTTAGCTGAAGTAATCAAAGGATTCCCTAACGCAAGAGTTGGGACATGCCAAAGTCCCTCTTCAAGGGGAGAGAGGCAGCTGCATGGTTACAAAGTAGACAAAGAAAGACAAGGGGCTTCTTTTAAACTGGAATGTGTGAAATAGAAGCAGGGAGCTGTGAATGCCACAGCAGCAATTATGCAGAAAGACTGCAGTGCAGACACTGAGCAGCACCATCCTATCTGATAACATCAGCAGCGGCAGAGGCATATTCCAACAAGAGCTGTTTAAGAGCTGCTAATTACTTAGATTCCAATAGGAGCTATGTCTTAAAAGTGATTACAATTTTTGATTACAGCTTTTTGAACTGATTGCAGCTGTAAGCTATGAAGGCAGTAATCTAAATACAAGCAAAAATTCCTTTGATCAAACACAAAGGAACTCTTCCAAATAAAGATACCTTTATTTTACATACATATATAGCTATGTGTTTCGCATGCGTAAACAAGTGAGTTATACACATCTATTAAACATATAACCATCTACACTAAATTTTAGGTTCCCTGAGACCAGGGACCACACTTGTGCATCCTTATAATTCCTTACAGTGTCTAGTAGGGTATATGGCACATAGAAGATGCTTACTGAATTGAATGAAAGTGAAACAATTGCTGTATTAATGATTTGATCAGATAATTGTTGTTTGTTACAATAATGGCCTACTATAGAATAAATACTGGGAAAAGCAATACAAAAGTCCATTTTACTAACCTCAAATCCAGGAAATGTACCTTCTTTTCTAGAAACCCAAAAGAAGTATGGAAATACATTCTTGAAAAGAAAGCTAACCACTCTACATTCCACAACAGAGACCATGTTGACTGTGCTGTGTGAGTTGCTAGGCAACCACTTGGTAATTCCCCATGTAATAGAGATGAACCTATCATCTGCTTTCTTAGCTATGTGTGACAAGAAGAGACAACAGGTAAAGGACAACCAAGAATACCTGCACCTGGATGACACAGTCACTCCTGCTGAAGTATGGTGACACCGGAGAAAATCCCCATGCCCTGTCAGAAATTGCTGGAGGGAGAATTTCAATTTCATTAAACTATTAGCACAAGACATTGCAGTGAATTTTCTTGGATTTACCTTGTGGGTAAATCCTGTGGGTTATCCCATTATACTTGTCCACAAAGCAGGAGGCCAAACGTACCATCGTTCTGCATGGGAATGGCCATCAGTTCAATAACAGCTCCAGATCAGCGTGTCCCGTGATGCCAGCTGGGATGAGACTTTACTAGAAAAAAGCAGCCCTTTAAATCTTAAAAAGGATACTCAACATCTTAAAGAAACCCCAAGTTCTGGGTGAATAAATCACCCTTTTTCATACCTGAGGAAAATGCTCATTTGTTTGCACAGGATTTCCAAGACACTTTAGACACATAAGCTGCCTTGTAACGACTCCGCTCAACTGTAGGTATTGACATCACTGTCTTTAGGCTAAAAACACAATGTTGGAGAATGAATAAAAAAATGTGTGAAAGCTACTCTGATGTTAAGCAAGAAAAAGAGAGCAGGCCAAGTGCAGTGACTCACACCTGTAATCTCAGCACTTTGGGAGCCCAGGGAGGATTGATCGCTTGAGCTCAGGAGTTCGAGACCAGCCTGGGTAACATGGCAAAACCCCGCCTCTATAAAAAAAAAAAAAAAAGTTAGCCAGGCATGGCGGCATGAGCCTGTGGTCCCAGGTACTTGGGAGGCTGAGGTGAGAGGATCACCTAAACCTGGGAGGCAGAGGTTGCAGTGAGCCAAGACTGCACCACTGCACTCAGCCTGGGCCACAGAGTGAGACCCTGTCTCAAAAAAATAAATAAATAAATTTAAATTCCACTGCAAATTTGGAAGTGTAAGGGGACTCATCTTTTTCATTTGAATTTTCAAAAGGACCTCCCCACACACACAGATTAAAAAAAAAAAAAAAAGAATATATGCCTGTAGGGGCCAAGGGAAAACATCCCCATCATCCTTAGGAGGTTTGCTGAAAATCTCTGACAAGGGGCAGATTAATTGGAGAGAAGGCACACGAATTTATTTAACATGTGTACACAGGAGACTTCAGAAAGACGACCCAAAGATACAGGGAAAATTGTTCATTTTTGTGCTTAGGTCCAAGAAAGTATGGACAGCCAGGCAGAAATATGATTGGACAAAAAAGACTGTGATCAAATGCTACCAGACTGAGTGGGGAAACCCAGCGAGCCTTGTTTGTCTAGATTTTTCTCAGCCTCTCTGAGCCTGCACTCCTTCCTTCTGGGTATGGGGCAGGACCCTCTCTGGAATGGGGGCTCTTATGAGCTATAGTCAAACAAGGTAGTCAGGTAATTTCTTTATGGACAGTTTTTACACAGCAAGGTGGAAGGAAAATTATTTTTAGGTTTTATGGTTTGGAGAAAAGGGGTTCTGTTTCTCTGACCCGCCTTGGGGAAGAGGGATTCTAGTTTCTATGGCTGGCCTGGGGACAGAATGGGATAGAGAGACAGGAGGGCAGGAGAAGGTCAGAGAAAAACTTTTGCTTTTGAGGCTGCTTTCTGAGGCCTTCAGTTTGGGGTGTTGTTTTCTGAGTCTCAACATGCCCCATCCCCACCGCAATATTATATTTAAGTCTTTGCAAATTGACTGCTTGCTTTTCAGTCTCCTGTTTGAGATTTAATTTTGAGACCTTAGACTCTGCAATCAGGCAATTGGCTGTGAAGAAAGCAGATTCTGAATCGAGATAAAATCAACCAGGTAGTTCTGACGAACAACTGGGCGTGGCTTCAACCCAACATATGGAGCCTGTTTAACCTGTTTTGGTGCTGACTTAAACAAGCCCAGCTGGCCAATCCTGTGAAGTGAAACTTGACAAAGGCCCATCCAGACTCCCTGGGGCTGGAGAGAGGAGTACTGGCATATGACATTCTTGGGTATA
Source organism: Homo sapiens (assembly GCF_000001405.40). Lineage (NCBI taxonomy): Eukaryota > Metazoa > Chordata > Mammalia > Primates > Hominidae > Homo > Homo sapiens. Next base: position 77,088,567 of record NC_000014.9, read on the forward strand.
TCTCGGTCTGCAAAGTACAGCCACTATATCTCTACTGACTACTAGGTTTTATAAGATTCTTCATGGAATTCCAAATAGAGTCAGCCATGAGCCAAATCAAACATAAAGGAGGAGGATTCAAGAGCATTCTTGAGTAAATTTCAGAATGGAAAAGACCCTCCAATGACTCAGAGGGGTGGGAGGAACAATGCAGGCTCTGGGATTTCTTTGCCAGAATGACAAGTGTAGAGCAAAACCTGTGGGAGTCACAGTTACTTTCATTCCTCCTTTCCCCAGTGGCCATACACAGGTGTGTGCAAAAGGCCTGGAGGTGGCAGAGAGTGGAGCATGTCAGGGAACTGACAAAAGAATAGGGACGAGCTCCTGTGCACCTGTGCCCACGGAAGCTACTCACTCCCCTCCTTCATGGTGTCTTTTCCTTCTCTGGAGTCCTTTCAGTGATATGTGAGCCCACTGTTAAATGTTCAGGAAGTTTGGGTCCCACTGATAGCAAGTTAGTTGAACATCTACTATGCAGAATTTACTTTGTGGGAGAAAACCATTAAGATATAATCCCAGCCCTTAAGGAGTTTAGACTCCAGTGAGGGAGACAGAGAAGTACGCAAGAAATTACAAAACAAGCCAGTCTAGATCAAGCTACAAGACACAAAGTACTCAATTTTTGTAAATAATTTCTATATGGAGGCTATTCCTAATCTTGGTCTTTGTAGTCAGCTTCCTATTACTGAAGCAACAAGTTCCACTAAAGAGCTCCAATTCCATTGGGCTTTCTGCTGTGGTGGTCTGTGTTCCCTGTCTTTTGTTAATCCCATGCTGGTGAACTCAACTGGGATCCAAAGGCTGTTGACAGAAGGGAGGTAAACCTATGAGGCAAGATATGAAGCCAAGGCAAACCTCCAAGCCAAAAATCAAATGCTTCCACACAAAGGGGCAAGTGAACAGCTTTCTGGGTGGCCTAGAGAGAGAGAAGGTGTGAGTTTAAATCAAAGACTTCAAAGCCGGGCATGGTAGTTTGTGCCTGTAATCCCAGCTACTTGGGAGGTTAAGGCGAGAGGATCATTTGAGGCCAGGAATTCAAGACCAGCCTAGGCAACATAGGAGGGCCCCATCTTTAAAAAATAATTAGCTGGGTGTGGCAGCATGCACCTGTAGTCCCAGCTACTTGCGAGGCTGAGGCAGGAGGATTGCTTGAGCCCAGGTCAAGGCTGCACTATTGCCCAGGTCATGCCACTGCACTCCAGCCTGGGTGACAAAGAGACTCTCATCTCAATAAATAGACGACTTCGTATTTAGTTGGGGAAGGAGTATAGGGGCAAAGAGAAACCTTCCCCTTCGACCTCTGAAAGTTTGCCAAAAAAATCAGCTCACAAAAGAAGATTAGAGAAAGGGCGTACAAATGTATTAATGTGCAAACAGGGAGAACCACAGAGTGCTTACCCCACTGCCCAATGGGGTCCATATAGCCTTATTTCAGGTGGAGGGGGGAGATAGGGAATACAGGTAATTCTGTTGATTGGCAATAAATGGTTGCTAGGGAGAATGAATGGATTGAGGAACAGAGATTAATTTCTAAATGGTTGTCTGAGTGAGTCTGCAAGAGAGACATCATCTTGTGAAAGAGTCTGTTCAGGTGTGGTTACATTCTTGGTCTTTTCTGCAATAGATAATAAGAGGAGGAAGCCAGGCACGGTGGCTCATGCCTGTAATCCCAGCACTTTGGGAGGCTGAGGCAGGCAGATCTCTTGAGGCCAGGAGATTGAGACCAGGCTGGCCAATATGATGAAACCCCGTCTCTACTAAAAATACAAAAATTAGCTAGGTGTGGTGGTGCATGCCTGTAATCCCAGCTACTCAGGGGGCTGAGGCATGAGAATTGCTTGAACCCAGGAAGATGGAGGTTGCAGTGAGCCAAGATCACATCACTGCACTCCAGCCTAAGTGGCAGAGTGAAACTCTGTCTCAAAAAAAAAAAAAAAAAAAAAAAAAAAAAAAAAAAAAATTCAAGGTGGCTCACGCTTGTAATCCTAGCACTTTGGGAGGCTGAGGTAGGTAATCATTTGAGGTCAGGAGTTCAAGACCAGCCTGACCAACATGGTAAAACCCCGTCTTTACTAAAAATACAAAAAACAAAAATTAGCTGGATGTGGCGACACACACCTGTAATATCAGCTACTCGGGAGGCTGAGGCAGAAGAATTGCTTGAACCCAGGAGGCAGAGGTTGCAGTGAGCTGAGATCATGCCACTGCTCTCCAGCCTGGGTGGCAGAGCAAGACAATGTCTCAAAAAATAAACGAAAAGAAAATAGATAATAAGGGGCAGGGGCTGGGAAACAATTGTTCTCCTTGTAGGGTCTATCCAATCTTTATGTAGATAAGGGAAAAGTCTTTTCCAACATCTGTTGATCTCTAAGGGCTTTTAACTCAAAATACTCATTATATCTAGGAGCCATATTTTAGGGTGAAGTTCCTTATGCTCTTTTGGGGGAAATACTTTAAAAGTCTTTCCACTAAAAAGATTCAGGATGAGGGTCTAACAGGTACAAGGCAGCTTCTGAATAGTTTGGGCAGGTATGTGGGTTGAAATCAGCATACAACACACACACACATACACACACACACACTCACACACACACCTCAATTATCTCTATGATGTACAGAGAAAAAGATGACCAGCTGGAGGCATTTTCTGTAGTATGCTTTTACAGTGCCCAGCCCCCATTCGTGGCATCCTCCTTTCCACACAAGTGCCTGTTACCTAATTGTCAACTAAAGAATCATGAATTTCATAAATCTGGAAGGGAGAGCTTTATTTCTCATAAAAGGTTGCAGCCTGCAGGCCCACAGGCTGGGAAGTGTAACCTTCAGAAGAAGCTAAGAGCAATCACTTCAAGGGAAGGCTAAAGCAAACAGAAATTTATGCTTAGCTGCATGGCCAAATATATAATATTCAGTCAGCTACAGGAATCATGAATATTTATGAAAGGAGAAACAACCATATATGCAATTGAGCTTCACATTTCTTCCTGAGTCCTATATTCAAAAAAAGTAGTGGTGTTAGCATGGTCCAAGAGTAGAGTTTTTGGCCCTCTTGTAACTGCCCAACAGGTTCTTCTTACCTACTGCACAGATAAAACCAATTCACTGAGACAGCAGTATTGCAGTAGAGAAAGAGTTTAATTATTGCAGGGTTAGCTAAGCAGAAGATGGGAGTTTATTACTCAAATCAGTTTTCCTGAGAACTGAGAGGCAATAATATTATGGATAATTTGGTGGGCAGGGGGCTAGGGAATGGGTGCTGCTGACTGGTTGGGGCAGAAATCATAGGGGTGTGGAAAATTAGTCCTTGTGTGCTGAGTTCTGGGTAGGGGGCCCACAGGACTGGTTGATTCCTGAGTCACAGATCCGATTGAAGTCAATGAGTTGCCAGAATGCAAAAGTCTGAAAAACATCTCAAAAGACCAATCTTAGGTTCTAAAATAGTGATTACCTATAGGAGCATTTGGGGAAGTTACAAATTTTGTGACTTCTGAAACAATGGCTGGTTATCATTTTTATTTTTATTTTCTTTTTGAAACTGAGTTTCGCTCTTGTTGCCCAGGCTGGAGTGCAATGGCGCTATCTCAGCTCATCGCAACCTCCGCCTCCTGGGTTCAAGTGATTTTCCTGCCTCGGCCTCCTGAGTAGCTGGGATCACAGGCATGCGCCACCATGCCCGGCTAATTTTTGTATTTTTATTAGAGACAGGGTTTCTCCATTTGGTCAGGCTGGTCTCGAACTCCCGACCTCAGGTGATCTGCCCACCTCGGCCTCCCAAAGTGCTGGGATTACAGGCATGAGTCACCACGCCCAGCCATGGCTTGTTATCATTTAATTATACATATATTTTAGCAGAATTCAGGTCCATCCCATAATCCCAATCTTGTGGTTTTTCATTACTTTTACCAAAGTGGTTTCGGTCCCTTTTCATTACTTTCACAAAAGTGGTTTCAGTAACCCCCTTCTAGCAAAGAGGGGGTTAGTTTCATGGAGGGCCTATTATCATTCTTGCTTCAAAGTTAAATTATAAACTAAATGCCTCCCATGGTTAGCTTGGCCTACACCCAGGAATGAGTGAGGACAGCCAGCCTATGAGGCAAAACCAAGATGGAGTCAGCCATGTTAGACTTCTCTTACCGTCATAATCTTTGCAAAGGCAGTTTTACTCTGACATCAAAAGGTGAAGCAGAGGACACAAAAATCCTCGCTGCACATCCTCCATGAGTCAGCCAAAACTAGTCCAGCAATGGTGGTCAGTTTTTAGGAAGGGATGCTTTGTGAAACTGGCAAGCTGTCACCCTGAAACTGTAAAGAGGGTGGGGGAGTGCAGTCACTACCTCAGGTGACTGGCTAATAGGGATAAAGGAATGGGGTGTCCATTTCTTGTTTTCTAAAGCTGGTTTCTGCCTACTCTTTAGGAAATAATTCTGGTTAAAGATTAATAAGGAAGGGGCATACTAAGGCGTGTCTGACCTCTCTCCCCATCACGGCCAGACATTCAGTTTTCAGGGTTTCTCTGGGGACTGCTTGGCCAAGAGGGGGTCATTCCAGTTAGCTGAAGGGCTTAAGATTTTATTTTTATTCCTCATAGTGCTTCTAGCTCCCCACTGGCCTCCTCCTTAGCATAGCAGGAAAGGCTGAGATATTACCCATTTCCACTTTAACATGGAGGCTGTCAAGCAAAGTGGCAAGGACTCTGGAATTCAAATCCTGGCTCTACCACTTACCACGGGTGACCTTGGCAAGTGACGTGGGCCTCCATATCTGAGCCTCCTGCTCTGTAAAAAGAAAATAATGATACTACACCCATCTCATAGACAGTGGGAGGATTAAATGAATAAATGTAGGCAAATCACTTAGGACAGCATCTGGCAAATAATAAGCACTACGTGTTGTTATGGAAGAATTTGTCTTGGGTTCTAGAGTATCTTGGTGTCAAGCAATTCCTTAAAGGAATTTCAAGTATCAGCAAGAAGACAGAGGGCTATGTGGGAAGGGTTTACACTGTCTCTAAAATCAAAACCTTCACCTGTATATGAACAGCCTGACCATAACCTGAATATTACCCTTTTAGTGTACCTGCTCTGCCAAATACTTCCCTAAAATATGAGCCAAGAACCAGTCTGGCTGGTGAGGGCCTTGTTACCTGACTGCTAAGGGAAAAAAGGTCATACATCCCACTATCACTGGCCTCTGCCTCTGCCATCTGGCACCTGTAGATCCCCCTGCCCACACAGGCTGGAGCCCCTCTCTTCTCTCACTGACCCATGAGACACACTTACCACTCCATCAAATCCTATTTAAAGACTTATGAAGTGATCAGCACCAATAATGCTAGATGCTAGATTCAAACTACAGGATAACTATTTTACAGACGGCCAAACTGAGGTTCAGGAAAATGAAATCAATGGTTCCCAAACACCAGTCCAAGAACTGTTGCCAGTCCTTGTGGTGATGTTTTCACCAGTCTTCAGCCAAACTGGAAAAATAAGACTAAAAGCTTTAAGTTTTTCATACACCCGAAATTATTCTATTTTTAAATTGTGAGGTTATGTCCTATCTTCCCTTCTGTGTATACGGAAAAGATATCAAAATGACCCTTCTTTTGTAAAATGATATTGATAGGAGCTGGAATTTGAAACTAGATCACTGACTTTCACCGTCTCCTATTACACTATTTTAATTACTTCTAAATTTTTTTTTTTTTTTTTTTTGAGACGGAGTCTCGCTCTGTCACCCAGGCTGGAGTGCAGTGGCACAATTTCAGCTCACTGCAGCCTCCGCCTCCTGGATTCAAGCAATTCTCCTGCCTCAGCCCCCTGAGTGGCTGGGATTAAAGGCGCATGCCACCATGCCCAGCTAATTTTTGTATTTTCAGTAGAGACGGGGTTTCACCACGTTGGCCAGGCTGGTCTTGAACTCCTGACCTAGTGATCTGCCCGCCTTGGCCTCCCAAAGTGCTGGGATTACAGGTGTGAGCCACTGCGCCTGGCCCACTTTTAAATATTTTTAAATGACTTTAATTTTAAATTCAACAATTATTAAACAATCGTTTATAAATATTTTAAATTGTATAACATAATACACTTAAAATATCTTCAAATAAAACTCGGCCCATGGCTGACTCTTCATGGTATCCTAGGCAGGGTTAAAAACTCAAATCCTCACACGGATAGGCAGGTTACAATTTCAAGAAGTAGATGGGAAAAAAAAAGAAACATTCGCAAGTCCCTAAATGTAGGATTTAAGGGCGCATGTCTCCCCCTGCTGGTTGTGGTGGTAGGAAACCGAACCTAGACCACAATGGTACTGGGGAGAACTTGAATTGGAAAGGACCCTACAGCAAGAAGAATAGGTGCTTCAGAACCCACTATCCATCACAGGGTCCTTACCCCATCCATCATAGGGTCCTTACTCCAACCAAGAGTAAAGAGAGTAAAGTGAGTGAAGGTTAAAGAATTCGTGGCACCAGTAAACTATCAATAGATGCTGATTTACAAATCTTGGTAAATTAATAGGAAAGGAAGAAAAACGTTTACGGTGGTTTAGCTACATAAAAATATTCACTATCAATCTTCATGAATTGCTTATTCTGTATATCTAATTATATAGAATCATAGCATAAAATAATCATAAAAATTATGCCTATCATTAGTCTTGATTCATTTGGTTCCATTACAATACTTGTCTGAAGCTTAAGTTATTGGTACAGCATGGCTGTCTGCTCAAGATGTAGGTAAAGTCAAGGAAGTTTGGTTTATTTGCCCCTTCGGAGGACTAAGAGGGCCTCATGCTTTCGCATATTTCACTGATTCTTTTTTGCTTGGTATGCATTATCCCCTCACCTGCTTCCATTATTGCAAACCCAACTTTCAAGCTGTCTTTAAAGCTTTACCTGCTGGTCTCTTTCTACTCCAACAACCGAAAAAGAAAGTTTTTTTTTTCTCCCTTAATGTTATTGTTTTGTTCAGAATCTTTTGGTAGTTATCCCATTCTCTTTCATATTGCTTATTACATCATGTCTTATTTCCCATATCAGATTGTAAGTTATTTGAAGGCAGACTTTTATTCTTTTTTTTTTTGAATTTTATTTTTGTTTTGTTTTTTATTTAAGTTCAGGGATACGTGTGCAGATTCGTTACATAGGTAAACTTGTGTCATGGCGGTTTGTTGTACAGATGATTTCGTTACCCAGGTATTAAGCCTAGTATCCATGCTGCTGTTTTTTAAATTTTTTATTTCCATAGGTTTTTGGGGAACAGGTGGCATTTTGGTTATATGAGTAAGTTCTTAAGCGGTGATTTGTGAGATTTTGGTGAACCCATCACCTGAGCAGTATACACTGCACCCAATTTGTAGTCTTTTATCCCTCACCCCCTTCCCACCCTTTCCCCTTGAGTCCCCAAAGTCCACTGTATCATCCTTATGCCTTTACATCCTCATAGCTTAACTCCCACTTATGAGTGAGAACATACGATGTTTGGGTTTCTATTCCTTAGTTACTTCACTTAGAATATAAGTCTCCAATCTCATCCAGGTTGCTGCAAATGCCATTAATTCATTCCTCTCATAGTTTATTTATTTGCCCCTTCGGAAAACTAAGATAGGACCACACCTCATGCTTTTGCTTATTTCATTGATTCTTTTTTTGCTTTGTGTGCGTCGTACTCTCACCCACTTCCATTACTGCAAATCCAACTTTTAGCTATCCTTAAAGATTTACCTACTGATCTCTTCCTACTCCAACAACCAAAAAAAAACAAAGTTTTTTTTTCTCCCTTTATTTTATTAATTAGGTTTTGTTCACAATCTTCTGGTACTTATCCCATTCTCTTTCATATTATTTATTACAGCGCGTCTTATTTCCCATATCAGATTTTAAGTTATCTGAAGGCAGATTGTTTTATTCCACTTCAAAAGAAGGCAATATATTAATAGCTTCATGGATAAAAGCCACGGTTTTCGTTTGTTTGTTTTGGTGAGACGGAGATTTGTTGCCCAGGCTGGAGTGCAATGGCACGATCTCGGCTCACCGCATCCTCCGCCTCCCAGGTTCAAGCGATTATCCTGCCTCAGCCTCCCGAGGATTACAGGCATGTGCCACCACGCCCAGCTAATTTTGTATTTTTAGTAGAGACGGGGTTTCACCGTGTTGCCCAGGCTGATCTTGAACTCCTGACCTCAGGTGATCCGCCCGCCTCGGCCTCCCAAAGTGCTGGGATTACAGGCGTCAGCCACTGTGCCTGGCCAAAGCCATGGGTTTTTAGTTGAGTCCTAATGGGCAAAAACGCCACACAACTGGAAAAAAATACCACCTGCGTCATAAACTTGTAAGGAATCATAAAAGGATGCATATAAAGCGGCCCGGCTCCTAATTACTTGGTAATTGTTAACTATTGCTTTCACTCTGTCCCCAAAACAAAAGCCTTACATGGTGTAGGCATATTACTTGTTGGTAAAGCTGACTACTAACAAGTACACCCATACCCAGTAATACATTAGAATTACCTGTGTCTAGAGGACTAACGTGATTAACCACGACCTAGCAGCACTTACAAAGGCCTGGATGACCAGTATAAAACAATTCCCCACTATCTAAATCAGCACTGTCCAATATAACTTTCTGCGATGCTGGGAATGGGCTATATATAATCTGCACTGTCCAATAAAGAGGTCACTGAGCTCCTGAAATGTGGCTAGTACAACTGAGAAACTTATCCAGTCGTTAGTGACCATCTTACTGGACAGCTCAGCTCTTGAATCTGCCTCGACCCGTCAACTCTTTAAACTCGCCCATGTCCTCTTTTTCACTAGCGAAATAATTCTTTTTCTAAGTAACCTTCACTGATTCAAGGCATCAGAACGTCAACTGATCCCAAGCCCTTTTTTTCTTTAGCTGTTACACACGTGTGTTCACCGTGAACCTTCACCAAGAAACAGCATCCATATAAAACCCATAGCACATGACAAAGTCAGTCAAACATCAAAGGTCATGAAATCATCTACTTAAAATAACTCATCGCGCCTCGACCTCGTGAAGCACGGTCTCGAGGGTGGACGGGAACAAAAAACAAACAGGGCGACAGGCGTAGAGAAAATGCGAGGAGCACGCGGGGAGGTCTGGCACCCCTGTCACGGCGACTCCAGGCTGAGGCCGCCCGCACGCCCGCTCTCCCACGCCGGGCACTGTCGCTCCCGGCACGCGCACAGGCCGGACACGACTCGCCCCGGCCCCCACCCCCAACGGCGGCACGGCGGCACGGCGGCACGCACCAAGACAGTGCGAGAGTCGCTCCTCTCTCTGTATCGACTCCAAGCCGGCCCCACCCCCGGCTCCTCTGAACCCCGCCTGGAAACCTTGCCCAAGCCGCTCATTGCTCAAGGCCCCCGTACAAAATGGCGGCGAGGCCTGAGGAACCAACCATAGAGACGCCCGCCGGCCGCGGACAGAGCGTAGGCCTCTGAGCGCTGGCCCCGCCCCGCGCCGGCCTGGTCTTCCGGCGGGGGCGGGGAAAGGGCGCATTTCCAAGGGCCCTTCTAGGAGAACAGCGTGCGGTCTCCATGGTGCCGGGTCATCCGAGTCGGGTCACGTGGCTGGCGAAAGCCGTCGCGGAGGCGTGGGGAGGAGAAATGGGCGGGAGGCTGTGGGGATAGCGAGACACCCAGCGACGACGAGGTTGTCATGGTGCCGCGGGGCCGTGCTCGCGCATGCGCCACCTGACCCACAGGCCGGTCGTGGAGCTGCGACCCCGGCCCTAGGTGAGAAAGGGAGGGCTCGGTCCGGGAGGAGGGGAGCAGGGATGACGGCGGGAGAGGGATTGGGCGAGGAGCGTGGGGAAAGGAGGTGGAAGTAGGGGAGAGAGGAAGAGGAGCGAGTAGGCAAGAGGGGCAAACCGGGACTTTCGGAGGACGGAGAGCCAAATGGTGGGAGCAGGGCTTTGGTTTGCTGTGAGGGGCGTGGGAGAGGGAATCGCGGGTGAGGAGGGGGCTGCGTGTGGGGAGGAGGCTTGTGTGAGGGGCAGGTGGGCCCTGGTCTAGCCCTGGGCGCAACCGCCAGCCGGCTGGGCGGGGAGAGAGCTTGGAGTCCAGCCCGGCTGGGAGCTGAGGGCCAAGCAATGGGCAGGTGAGTGGGCGCCAGAACTAGTAACTGGGCGAGGGTCCTGGGCTTCCGGTTTGAGGTCGGGGGTGGTACCCTGTTCTGGCTCCAGGGCACAGGTGTGCTGCCTTTTCCAGAGACCTGCCGTCACCCTCGTTGCTGGTTGTTTCCCCTGAGTGGCCAGCTTGCCAGGCTTGGTGTCGGGGGTAGTGTTTCTGGGGAGAAGGTGGGCAGTGCCAAGTAAGGAGTTAAGTGGTTAGTGGGTGGGTTCGGGGGAGCTCTGATCCCGGCCCAGGTCACAGGCTGGAGCTAGGCTCCCTGTTATTGCTCAAGTCCTGGCAGTATGCATTGCCTGGGCGTTTGCCCTGGAAGGCTGGTGGTATGCCAGTCACAGCACAGTACTAGGGTCTGCCCAGTTTTGCCCTGCTGAGCTGGCAGGCTGGTGGATGCCTGGAGGGTGCACATGCTGCCTGGCACAGATGCAACGTGGGCTGGTGCGAATGGGTAGGTGGGCACTGTTACTGTGAACTAATTGCAGCAGGGGATCGGAGAAAGTTCTCTAAGCTCATCTCCCCTTTGAAAGGTGAAAATAGAGCCAAACTGGTCTAAAACATAGGAAATTGTATGGAATTGGGGTTCAGGATCTTTGACACGAATTTTCAGCCAAGTTGGAGAAATGGAATGAATGTGGAAGGGAAGATGAATATTAGACATTTAGGTAGACAGGGTTTTTCCACTGTTAAGATACCCAGACATTCTCCCAGAATGGTATCCCTGAATATGCAGGCCAAAAGAAAATGACTTCGGAGAAAAGCTAGTAATGTATTTATAATTCTAACGGGGATTACTCAAGGTTTTCTTTCTGTGACCTTATCACTTTATTGTATTTAAGCCTCTGGTTGGGCTTTTACCTCACACTTCTGTCCAGGCACACATGTTATACACGTGACACATTTTAAAGGGAACTTGAGCTTCCAGGAATGTTGCCAAGTGTCTATAAAAGGAGAGATCTGAAAGCAGCATTTCAGATCCTTTTCTTGTAACCCTGGATCTCCTTTTTAATCATAAGGACAAATCTTCACAAAGATTGTTTGTGGATTAGATCAACCCTTAATTTGGATGGTGGATTTGTCCCTGACGTTTCAACTTAGAATAAGGGGTAGATCAAATATCTGTTTCCTGCAGGGGACCAGACGTGGAGGTTAGATCTTAAGGTGACCGTGGTGTTTGGAAATGCAGAATCTTGACCTTCAAGCTGTTCAGGTATTTCTGTGACTGCTAAGCTACTAGAGCTGTCAGAGACTCAGCAGGTCAGAGATTTGTTGGAATTTATTACTCTATTGAATGCCTCATGTTAATTGTTGGGGGCTGAGGTTGCAAAGATGAAAAAAACAACTCGAGGTTGAGGAGACAAATAATTAGACTAATGTCAGAAGTGCAAAAAGAGTAGTAAGAGCTAAATGCTTTGGAGCACTTGCTAGGATTTTGAATTTTGTCCCCTTATATAAACTTATATATTTATTGATTCACTTTCTTTCTTTCTTTTTTTTTTTTTTTTTTTGAGACGGAGTCTCACTCTGTCACCCAGGCTGGAGTGCAGAGGCACAATTTCGGCTTACTACAATCTCTGCCTCCCAGGTTCAAGCTATTCTCGTGCCTCAGCCTCTTGAGAAGCTGGGATTACAGGCACACATCCCCAAGCCCAGCTAATTTTTGTGTTTTTAGTAGAGACAGGGTTTCACCATATTGGCCAGGCTGGTCTCCAACTCCTGACCTCAGGTGATCTGCCCGCCTGTGCCTCAAAGTGCTGCTGGGATTATAGACGTGAGCCACCTTGCCTGGCTCTGATTCTCTCTTTTCTTTTCTTTTCTCTTCTTTTTTTTTTTTCTTTTGACGGAGTCTCACTCTTCACCCAGGCTGGAGGGCAGTGGCAACATCTCGGCTCACTGCAACTCCACATCCCAGGTTCAAGGGATTCTCCTGCCTCACCCTCCCAAGTAGCTAGGATTACAGATGTGTGCCACCACACCCAGCTAATTTTTGTATTTTTAGTAGAGACAGGGTTTCACCATGTTGGCCAGGCTGGTCTCGAACTCCTGACCTCAGGTGATCCATCCACCTCTGCCTCCCAAAGTGCTGGGATTATAGGTGTGAGCCACCACACCCGGCCTGATTCACTTTCCATTATGAGTTTTAGTGTGTACTATCCTCTCTGGGAAACTTTTGGACAATGTGTTACATATACATGCATAAGAGGCCCAATTAGGGTAAATTCTGACAGTTTTGGAGCCTAAATTAGCCCTTTTAATGCAGAATAAGGTACATGTGTTTGTAAAGCAGCGTGAGTGATTTCCAGTCTATGCCAGGAAGCAGGAAGCAGAAAGAACACAGTGGGTAAGAGCTTAGTAATCCATTTTCAACTCCTAGTCAGTGTGAGCATGTAACTTTATTGTAAACTAATATCTAAGAGGAAAAAAATCAAGCAACTTCCCGAGGTTTTCAGACTTTGCCTTGCAAATTTTGGGGTTGAGAGCACCAGTAGTAAGTGAGGCTTTATGTGGTGCTATGTGTGAGTGGGTCCCTCAGCCACTCCCAGGAGGGCAGTGCTGCTACTCCTCCGAAAGAGTAAAGTTTGGGGAGGGATGTAGCCCTTTGTTCTACATCCCATGTGAGCCTCCCTGGCTGCAATGCTAAGGCTTTTTGCTGCTTAAGAGAACTTTACTGAAGATAGAGGCTTTCATATTTTTAATCATTTTCATATGAAAAATAGTCAATTTGCCATCCTAAAGTCGATTTTACATTCTTTATTTCCAACTGCCACCAACTCCCCAGGATCTAAATTTAGCATCTGTTCTCTTTTTAACTTACCTCTGTGATACCTTTCCTCACCTACCATAAGGGTCATAGTTGACCCTCCCATAACAAAAGACAGGTTAACAAGAGAAAAACATAACAGTTTTATTTAATCAAAGTTTTTTTTATGACACAGGAGTCTTCAGAAGTGAAGCCTCCCAAACTCAGGGAAAACTGTCTATTTTTATGGTTAGGTTTGATGAAGAATGGACGGCTGTGTAGAAATATGATTGGACAAAAAGGGTATGATCTGGCTGGGCATGGTGGCTTATGCCTGTAATCCCAGCACTTTGGGAGGCTGAGGTGGGAGGATTGCTTGAGTCCAGGAGGTTGAGACCAGCTTGGGCAACATAGCAAGACCCAGTCTCTACAAAAAATTTAAAAATTAGCTGGGTGTGGTGGTATGCGCCTGGAGTCCCAGCTACTCAGGAGGCTAGGGCAGGAGGATCACTTTAGCCCAGGAGGTCGAGTCTGCAGTTAGCTGTGATCGTGCCACTGCGCTCTAGCCTGAGCAACAGCGTGTGATCCATCTATAAATAAAAAACAAAACAAAAACAAAAAGAGTATGATCTAATAGTAATGGACTGAGGTGGGAAACCCAGCAAGGTCTGTCTGTCCAGAATTATTCTTGACCTCTGTGTAGCATTCCTTCCTCTCTGTTATAGGGCAGGACCCATTCTGGAATGAGGGTTTTATGATCTGCTATCGGACAAGACAGGTCAGATAATTTCTTTATGGCCAGGAAGTCGAGGCTGCAGTGAGCTGTGTTTGTGGCCTTGCACTCCAGCCTGGGCGACAGAGCAAGACACAGTCTCAGAAAAAAACAAAAAGCAACAACAAAGTGCTCATTATGCTAAAGTGCCATACTTGGGAGTATTATTTTCTGAGCCTCAAAAACCGATTGTCAGTGTTTCAGTATTTTGACTCCATGATCAATTATCTCTTATCCTACAAATTCTCAATAAGCCAGAATAAATTCCTGTGTATTTTCTGTAGCTCTATTGACTACACTTTAATAATAATAGCAAGACCTTTTTCATTGTTTTGCCGCAAGGATTGTAGAAGACTAAATTGGGATGCATTATCTAAAGTACCTGTAAAATAATCCATGTTTAGTAAGATAATGTGAAACTTCAAGAACCTAAGAACCTAAGTAAGGTTCTTAATTAGTTGCAACTAACATGAGCTACCCTCCTAATCTAAATCAACAGCCTGGTCCGACATGAATTAGTTTGAATGCCCATCCACAAGCCTCATCTACTTCCATTTTGGAGATGGCTTCTATTCACTTTTGGACAGTATTATTTTAGGAAAATTATACTATGCACATTTGTTGAATTTCATACAAAAGGATCCAATTTAATTAGAGATATAGTTTTACACTTTAGTCTACTTTTTAAGCTGGGCCGTCCATGCTGTCAAATTTCATAGCTGTCAGATAGACATTGCTTTTGCATAGTTCTCTGCAAGTTGTGACAGTGCCACTGTTTATCTTTTATGCACATAGGATTAAACGTGTGACCTGTGGAAGAGTGCTTGATTTGATGTCAGTTGAATGAGGAAGCCAGTCCCCTTAAATGAGTTAGATACGGGGCAAAATGATTTTTACTTGGAATTGTGTTTAAAATTCATTCTCATTCAGTTCAGTTTGTGTTCCCTTTAGTCTGCTCCTACAGTATGCAAAAGTACGAGCAAGAGGGTTGCTTATAAGCATCCTTGTCTTCTATTTAATTTTATTTTGAACTGCTTCTAGGGTAGTTAATGTTCTTCACTAGATCTTATATTAGCAGGAATGTCCAGACTTGGCACTCCAGGGTATTCCAGATACAGTGGTATTTGGCAGGGGGCTTGTGTTTTTCTTCACTCAAAGAACAACAGGATAGAGTCAGGAGTGCATCGTGAATTAAAACATCACAAGGCTTTGCTTGCATCTTCCCAGTTTCATTATTGTCATGTTCCCTGTTGGCCTGTTCTCCTTATGCCAGTGGTATTCCTTGTGTTATTATCATGCTGGCCTTACAGTTGCCATTCCTTGGTGACTCAAATGGCCATGTTAAAATATCTGGAATGTTCTTATTCTCAGCCAGCAATTTGAAGGGCCAATTGGTCTTATTCTTGGCACTGTTGATCTAGGTCTGGATCTGCTGTGGACTAGCTGTTTATCACTGGAGCAAATATAGGCCTCTCTCCTGGGCTTCAGTCTTACATGTGACTGCCTACCCAGGATCTCCACTTAGATGACCCACAGTAACTTCAGTCTCTACATGACCAAATCTACATGACCATGCCACCCTGCCCCACCCACCCAACTCCCTTCTGTGCACTTCTTGGGCTCCCTAGCTGAGAAAGTGGTACCACCATCTTCCCCCTACCCAGTCCCATCAGGTGGGCCTCCATGTTTTTCTTCTTCCCATCTCTACTGCCACCACCTTAATTCACCTGGACTGTCACGGTAGCAACTAAATGATCTCAATGCCACTCTTGCCCTTCTCCACTTTAGCCTCAGTTCAGCATCCAGAATGCTTTTAAAATGCAAAGCTGGTGTACACTTGTAATCCCAGCACTTTGGGATGCCAAGCCAAGCCAAGGCCCAGAGCCAAGCCCGTGGTGGAAGGATTGTTTGAGCCTAAGAGTTCACGACCAGCTGAGGCAACAAAGTGAGATCCTGTCTCTACAAAAAACAAAAAATTAGCCAGGTGTGGTGCTACATGCCTGTTGTCCCAGCTACTCCATAGGCTGAGGGGAGGATCGCTTCCATCTGGGCAGTTGAGGCTGCAGCGAGCCATGATCACGCCACTGCACTGCAGCCTGGGTGACAGAGTGAGACACTGTCTCAAAAAATAAGATAAATAAAATGCACATCTGATCATGTCACACTTCTGGTTAAAATTCTTCCATGGCTTCCCATTGCGTTTAAGTTAATATCTAAAATCCTTCCAACATGGATTCCAAGGTATTGCCTGTCTGTTCCCTGACTACCAGTCTGGCATCAGTGCATGGCATTGTACCCTTCTACACTGTGCTCTGGCCTCCCTGGCCTTTCAGTTCTTTGTTTGTGCCAAGCCCCTTGCTCCCTTAGGGCCTTCACACTGCCTGGAACATGCCTTTCGCCTAACTCCTACTAATTCCCAATCCTCCAGATCCCAGCTATGGTGCACTTCCTCAGTCCCCCAGACTGTTAGCCTCTCCCATTTATAGCTCTTATCAAAATGGTCGCTAGTTGAGTGATTACTTGATTAATGACTGTCTCTCTCTAGATCATAAGCTACAAGAAGGAAGCGACAGATGCCTATTCTGTTCATTCTATATCCCCAGTCCTTGCACAATGCCTGATTTACAATGGCATTTGATAAATATTTTTAAATGATTGAATGTAACTTATCTGAGCCTCAGTTTCCTCCCCTGTAAAGTGAGATAGCAACTGAAGATGACATTGTGAGGCTCAAGTGAGATAACACTAATAGCAACGCATATTATAAGCTCTTTATTATATATGATTTTATTTGCCCATAAAAGTGTTTTTTAAGCCTAAAAGTAGCATGCATGTATAGGGAGTTGTTTTTGCTCTCTGTTCAATACCTCAGCCAAAGGATTTAGAGGTTAATTTGAGAAACACAACACTGTGGGAGGTGGCAATAGGTCATGAGCCTGCAAATGTACACGAGGAAAGCAAGCCTTGCGGTGTCTCTTTTCTCCTCTCCCCTTTCCCCTCTCCCCCTCCTTCTGCCCTCTCTCTTCTCCTGTCTTCCTTTTCCCTTCTCTTCACTCCCCTGTCCCCTCTCCCCTCTGGTGAGTTCATTTCGTTACCCATTGGAAAAAGCCTAATCAAATGTGCCTTTGTTAGCAGTTTACAAAGCGAATGCTGAATGTGGTTTGTGTGCCTTGAATTTGTAATGGAATTAGAGGGCAGCCAGAGGACTGTGAA
This sequence comes from Homo sapiens, assembly GCF_000001405.40. Lineage (NCBI taxonomy): Eukaryota > Metazoa > Chordata > Mammalia > Primates > Hominidae > Homo > Homo sapiens. Next base: position 77,105,477 of record NC_000014.9, read on the forward strand.
TCTCCTTATGGGTGGAAACCATTCTGTTTAGTAAACTTGAAGCTTTTGTCAGTTGAAACCTCTGAGAAAATAAAGCTGAAGTGGGTGAGGCCAGTGTTCTTTGCCCATACTTTATTCACTGTTTGGATCACCTGTTTCAGCTCTCCAGGCAGTGACTTCTTATATAATTGTTTTTCATAGGGCAGTCCAGATGAAAAGAGTACCAATGAATCTGCCTCCAGCTGAATAAACCATGGAGAGGAAAAACCCATCCAGAGAGAGCCCCAGAAGACTCTCTGCCAAAGTAGGCAAAGGCACAGAGATGAAGAAAGTGGCTCGTCAGCTTGGGATGGCTGCTGCTGAGTCAGACAAGGACTCTGGCTTTTCAGGTTAAAAATATCTTATCCTTCCTCTGTTTTGTGAGTGAATGCTTTGCGTGAAAAATTTCCTCCCCAAAACTCATTTATGTGATAAGGATGGGATGCTTTCACACACAGGATAAATACTTACCTGCTTTAAAATGGTAATTCTGATGCCATATGTCAGGGTACCCATCAAAGTCACCACAGGGTTAGTTCTGAAAGAATTATTTAACATCTTTTTTCAACTTAGACTCTGAATCTTACACTTCCAACTATTGCAATTGGTCACTGGAAAAAATATTTAAATACTCATAATTCTGTTGTTTTACTTCCTTTTTCACAGGAATTATTACATTGTAGGGGAAAAATTGCTACTGCATGTAGTTTCCATGTAACAAATTGGAAGACTGCCAGTTAAATAAAAGTAATACTGTATATAATTTGTAAGGTAACTTTTTCATTGAGAAAGTAGTTTCGCTGTGTTTAGAAATGTACGCCTCCAACAACCCCTCCCCCCAGTCTCTATGCATTTTGTATTTGGACTGTGAGCCACCTGGCCTAGCTCTAAACTTGAGTATCTATTAGAGATAAGAAAATAGAACAGTTTTCCTTACAAGTTTTTCTTAAACCTTACCCAAAAGGGCTAGCTGCATATATATTGAATCATTCAATTTTGTGCTGGGGCTCTTTTTTTATTTCCCGCTCTGAGGGTAGTGGCTTGAATATGGCGCTAGTGTGATTTTTGGCGCGGGGATGCAGAGGGGTGATGCTGAGGGATTCTGGTCAAGTCAACATCCTGAGAGTAGAACCCTCTCAAGGAGAAGATTTATATTATCCAGACTCACAAAGACAAATCAATCAATTTTGATTTATTAACTTATAGTGAGAAATGCAGCTGTTAGGAAAACTAGAACTCTCTTGTCTTTAGATTGGCATATTTTCTCCCTGTAGGCATGCTGCTTGAAAAGGCAAATTATAAATAGACCGTTGCTCAAAGAGGAACAGAGCGCCAACCAAGGGATTAGATTAAAAGGAATTAGTTGCCCTGCCCAGGGCCAGGACAGTCCAGGGAAGGGCGGGCCAACCTTCCCTTTGGATTTTTCTTCTCTCTCTCAGCATTGTTTCCTAAGCCTGCCTCATCATAAGGCTCACCTGAGGCATTTGTTAAAAATATTGATCACCAGATCTCCCTCCTGGAGACTCTTTCAAGGGTCTGGACAGGGCCTGGAATGTGGGTTCTTTTAAAAAACAAGTGTTTCTGTTGTATGATCAGACAGGTTTGGGAAACACTGGAGGCCTAGTGCCTCTTTTTTTCTTTTAATATCACGTTTGCTTTTTGTTTATGTTTCATTTCATGAATACGTGCTCATTGTAAAAGCTTGGACAGGTAGGAAAGCATGAAGAAGAAAAACATTATCCATAATCTTACCATCTATTATTTCCAGTACTGTTGACATTTTGACACTTCTAACAACTTCAACTTTGTCAGGCCAGTTGTTTTAAGAATATTGTACTACTCAGATATAAGGTGGTATTAAAATAATCAAACTCATTATGCCCCAGAAAGTAGCCCCAGTGAATGCCACTGGAATGCTTCGAGCCACTCTTGGGCCAGGTGCCAGTGATTTCCTCACTGCCTGAGTTATTCCAGTTACCTTGGAGTAGGATGAAATTTGCAAAATCAAGACAATTTTTCCCATTTTAATTACCACATTTGTAGTTCAAAAAATTTCAAATCTATACAAAAGCAAATGAATACCCCATATGTCTATCTTTTTGCCATATATGCTTTCTCTCTCTCGCTCTCTTTACACACACACACACACACACACACACACACACTCTCTCTCTGAATTATTTGAAAGTAAATTGCAAACACTTGACATTTTACCCCATGTAGCTTCAGTACAGATTTCCTAAAAACAAGGACATTCTTCTATGTAGTTATAATATCATTATCATACCTAAGAAATTTAACACTGATACTTATCATTAGCTACACTCCATATTCAGATTTTCCCCCATTGTCCCAATAATGTCCTTTATAGCTGTTTGTCTTTTTGTCTGTTTTGGATCCAGAATCCAACTGAAGATTGAGCATTGCATTTAGTTGTCCTGTCCTTTAGTCTGGTTTAGTTTATAACCACTCCCCTATCTTTTCTTTCCTTTTTTTCTTTCTTCTTTCTTTATGACATTGACATCTTTGAATGAGTCAGGCCTGTTGCTTTGTAGAATGTCTCACACTCTGGATTTTCTGGTAGTGTCCCCATTATTAGGGTCAGGATTAGCATCTTGACCAGAATACTATGTTGTTGATGTTGTATCCTTCCCATTGCAACACATTTGGAGACTCATAAGTTAGTCTTACTCTTGGTGATGCTCTGGTTGGTTGATCACTTGGCTAAGATAGTGTGTACAGATTTCTTTACCATTAAAGTACCCTTTTCTCTTTGTAATTAATAAGTAATTTATGGGATAATACTTTATAATTGTGTGACTATCCTATTCCCCAACAAACTGTTTACCAGAGTTAGCATCCATTGATGATCTTTGCCTGAATCATTACATTGGCGGTTTAAAAGTGGTGATCTTGGCCGGGCGCGTTGCCTCACACCTGTAATCTCAGCACTTTGGGAGGCCGAGGCAGGTGGATTACCTGAGGTCAGGAATTCGAGACCAGCCTGACCAACATGGAGAAACCCTGTCTTTAATAAAAATACAAAATCAGCCAGGCGTGATGGTGCATTCCTGTAATCCCAGCTGCTCGGGAGGCTGAGGCAGGAGAACCGCTTGAACCCGGGAGGCAGAGGTTGTGGTGAGCTAAGATCATGCCATTGCACTACAGCCTGGGCAACAAGAGCGAAACTCTGTCTCAAAAAAAAAAAGGGGGTGATCTTCTAATTTTACCATTCTTTGTACGTCATTAGCTGACATTCTTCTGTAAAAAGTGCTTTCCCTCCTCCCTCTTCTTTTGAGTATCACTAATGTAGTCATGGAATTCTTTTGTAATTCAGTTTGTCAACCTGTTAAAATCATCATTTCTGATACTCAAATTGTCTCAAATTTGACCAGCAGGAGTCCCCTCAAGATAGCTCTTGTGTCTCGTTGACATGTCTCTGTTAGTGTTTGAGCACTTCTTTGCTTTCTGGGACAAGCAGCTGTCCAGGCTCATCTCGTATCTTCCCTGTCAAAGTCTTGGAATCAGCTGTTTCTCCAAGGACCCCTCATTTCCTTTATGTGCAGAATGGCATTTAGAAACCAAGATCTGGGCACTCAATATGTACATTGCTTCTGGGCTCATTTGTTTTCAGTCTAATGGTTCTTAACTAGAGGTGTACATTTGGATTACTTGTGTTTTGTGAAATACACCTACCATGGAACCAGGTAAATCACTTCAGTAGATCAAGGGAAGGATCCCAACATTTATGGTTTTTTAAAAGTATCACTGGAGATTCTAAATCATATTTCCATTGATGTATATCCTTCCAGTCATACAGTCTTCCTTAAGCTGGAGAAAATGCAATTGTTTTGAGGTTTACAGATTGGTTTTGTTTTTTTAATTGTAATTACATCTTGTGGTACCCAGAGCCTCTGAAGGTCTTAATCCTACCTTGGGCCATACTCGTCTCCTTTCTCAACATAGATTCTCGAAAGTAATAAACTAACTTTGAAACCTTGAACTCATTTCTCCTGTAGACTGATGATGATTACTTTCATGTGAGCCCTAATTGAGGCAGGTTTTTGTCTGTAAGAGAGTTAGAAAGGAAGTCAAACTCGTCCTAGGGCAATAATTCTTAATCTTTGGTGGAGGAGGGATTAATTATAGATCCCATTGAAAAGCCAATGAAAGCTAAAAGCCTCCTTCTCAATAAAATTCACAAAAACACATCACAAGTGTTGCATTCAATTTCAAGAGGTCTGTAGCTCCTTAGGAGCCTGGTTAAGAGCCCCTAGTCTAGAGCCTGAGTGAGTTGACCATTCTTCTGCCCACCAGATGGGAGCTCGGAATGTCTGAGCTCTGCAGAGCAGATGGAGTCCGAGGACATGCTGAGCGCCTTAGGCTGGAGCAGAGAAGACAGGCCGAGGCAGAACTCCAAAACTGCAAAGAATGCCTTCCCTACCCTGTCTCCCATGGTCGTCATGAAGAATGTGCTTGTCAAACAGGTGAGGAGGACTAATATCACCTAAAGTCTTTGCAAATAAAAATCTCTTAGCTTCCGTGTATAAAGGAAGAGATTTATATTCTCTGCCAAGGAGAGATTTTAGAAACAGACCATTAGAACCACACCAATGTGTACTTTCTGTCCTGGGGAGCGGATGTTATCTTTCAAGTGTGACACTGTTTTAAAAAGGAATATAAGAATCATGACATGCGTTCTCATTTTTCAGACAGTTAGGTTGTTTTATTTCTGTATTCATAGTTTGTCCAAAGAGACCCTGAAATGTATATAAAGGAACCAAGCAGAAATGGCATCACTTCAATGGTGCATTCTAACATATGGCAGAGTTTAGGGTAGAAACAAAAGATGCTCTTTTTAATATGGATTGCCCTGGGAATTTAGGAATGTAGAATGCATTTATCTCAGAAGTAGAGGCAATTTCCCTGTTTCTTATGTCATATACTGAGCATTTTCTTAGTAGTCAGCCAGAGCCTGTCATTAGTGACGAAGCTGCTCCTGGTTCAAGTATGGGAATACCAGCAGAATCCACACAGTGTTGTGGAGTGGAAACACATCCTGTTTGGGGCTTTATTACATAACTATGTTTATTATATGATTATTGTTTAGATATGAAAGAAAAGATTTAGATGAAAATCTAAGTTAAGCTCTAGTGTTTGAAACTGAGAACTTGATCATATGAACTTGGTTAAGTTAGAATAGAGAAGTCTGAGAATAGAAAAGATTGATTTCAGCCAAAGAAATTTAATCTTACCGTACTTTCCTCTGAAAATATATCAGTTTTCATATGGGTCCATTGATGAGGCTACTTGAAGATAGTGAAATTTTAAATCTGGCTTGAGTAGTTGACTTTTCCCCCCTTAGGGTAAAAGGTGAGAACATGGCTTTAACTTGACAGGAAATCTTAATGTCTTAGCTATTACCTAGTTGTATATGAGGAACACAAACTGATTTTCAACAAGGCAGACTGGTGAGTTCTGAAAAGGAATTTGAAGATTTTTGCTTGGTAAATCACATCTCAGCTGGAAGCATGGCTCTCCTTATTGAAAGGAAAAGAAAGAATAGAGACAGGAAACGGAGCCCACATGAGATTGCTCCGGCCCCACCAGTGCTGCCAGTGCTTCTCCTGGGCTTCCTTTCTCCCAGTTCTTTTTCTCCCTGCCTTCCTCTCTGGCTTCCTTGTCCCTTTCTTGTGTCTGTGTTTATATCCCTTCTTTGTTGTAGGCTAGGCTGGCAGCTCCAGAAGGCTGAGAACAGCCCACACACACAGTTACGGAGTGAGTAGGCTTTTCCAGCAGAGCCACATTCTTTAAGACAAAGACCCGCCAGAAAAGCTGCTGGGCCTGATCAGGAGCTAAGAGACTTGGGGACAAGCTGACCTAAGGGAGTAGTCTAGGAGTTTTGTTTCGTTTTTTAAAAACATACTAGAATCTAGCGTATTCTAAAATTAAAATAATGATACACATTTAAAACTCTGCATGTTGTGTAATGTCTTGATTATGGCTGCTTGGTTTTAGATATTTTTCTTTTGAGAGTCTGATTCCACCTCTGTCATTAGACAGTGTGATCTTGTACATAATTAACCACAATGGATATCAGTTTCTTCATCTTTAATATGAAGGGTTTATGTGAAATGATTCTGAGATCCTGTCCAAGTCTAAAATTTTGTTCTGTATTCCCTCAGGTGATTTCCACATGAATAATACAATTTGTAAAATCTAATAATTGGAACAAGTCAGCTAAGTATCTGTTAGGAGAGTGGGCATAACAGTAGCATTAGGAAGTACAGTCCAGTAAAATCATGGGAAAACAATGCATTAGATATTTTCCAGATCCATTTGCCTTGTAGGTCATCCCTAGAGAGGGCATGAAGTTTTGCTTCTGACTGAGCTGGAACAGGCTGATTTCTACTTCAAAAGACCTCTTGATTTTGGATCTCCTATGACAAGGAAATATGGTTTCTGGCCCTAGCATTGCTTGCCTTAGTATATTCCGGAGTATATTTGAACATCAAGAGGACTCTAGATCGTTCCAGCCTTTGCATGGGAAATGAACTGGCCTAAAGTTCCTAACCTTGCATCCAAGAAACTGAAATGTGTGCAAAATGGTGCGCGCATGTACATGTATGGGAAGACAGTTCGTAATGTTCTTCAGATAAATCAAATGACCCCACCTGACCCCACTGATGATGTGAAACTCTGTCAGGCTTGCCCTCTGCCTGGCTTTATCTATACTCAGATTTTGGGGACCAGGTTGGAACTGGATTGGCTTTCAAACATTGGAGACAAGTAGCCATGTCCTTCTTTATTAGATTTCGTCTGAATCAATACTTTAATTAAAAAATAATGTATAATTGAGGAGTAATAAACAAAGGCAGTATAGCAGAATGGCTCAGATGGGTTTTAGAGTCAGACAGAGGATGGAATCCTAACTGCATCACTTAGTAACTTGATGACTTAAAACAAGTTTTTTCGACTTTCTAAGCCTCAGTTCCCTGTTTATGAAGGGAAATGGTAACTGCCTCATGGGGTTTTAAATAGATTAAGTAACTCATGTAAAACATTACACATAGTGGTAACCTATAATCAGCACCAATACATGGTAGCTGTTATTATTTTGAATGGTTTTATGATTGTTGGATGTCACTGCCTTAAAAACAGGAACCCATAGACTCCTGACAATATGGGTTTTTTTCTTTTCTTTCTGTTTTTTTTTGTTGTTGTTGTTGTTTTTGAAACCAAGTCTTGCTCTGTCACTCAGGCTGGAGTGCAGTGGCGCAATCTCAGCTTACTGCAACCTCCACCTCCCAGGTTCAAGCGATTCTCCTGCCTCAGCCTCCCAAGTAGCTGGGACTACAGGCGCACACCACCAAGCCCAGCTAATTTTTTGTATTTTTTAGTAGAGACGGGGTTTCACACGTTGGCCAGGCTGGTCTCGAACTCCTGACCTCAGGTGATCCACCTCCCTCAGCCTCCCAAAATACTGGGATTACAGGCATGAGCCATCACACCTGGCCCAATATGTTACTTTTTAATCAAAAGTTATTTTCAGGTAAAAGAGGTTCCAGGTGTGACTAAATGAAGATACACTTTGGTGTAAAGTCACATTTTAACTTACACCAGGAAATCCATATTTTTGTTGTTTCAGTTGTGACCTTAGCTATGTCATTACTTTACCTACCCATTTATTTTTCTGAGTGATAGCACTTGAATAAAAATAGGTATTTCCTCCAGTTTTCCCTTAGAAAAAGTTTAAAAAGTATTTGTGATATCAGACACAAATAGATGTTCAAACCACTATGTGAGAGAAGCACTGTCCTTGAAATTGTTCTAAGCATTTGAGTATCCACTTGCCCCTTTGACAGAAGCTTCACTCCTCTATCCTTTCAGCAGTAATGAGTAGTGTGCTGCTCTCCTCCTTTGTCTTCAGGGCAGCAGCTCATCCCAGCTCCAGTCGTGGACTGTCCAGCCCTCCTTTGAAGTGATCTCAGCACAGCCACAGCTCTTATTCCTTCATCCACCTGTACCATCTCCTGTCAGTCCATGTCACACTGGTGAGAAAAAGTCCGACTCCAGGAACTACTTGCCCATTCTGAATTCTTACACCAAAATAGCCCCACATCCAGGCAAAAGGGGCCTTTCCCTTGGCCCAGAAGAAAAAGGAACAAGTGGAGTGCAGAAGAAAATCTGTACTGAGAGACTTGGGCCTAGCTTGTCTTCCAGTGAGCCAACCAAGGCTGGTGCTGTCCCATCCAGTCCCTCGACGCCAGCACCACCCAGCGCCAAACTTGCCGAGGACTCAGCTCTGCAGGGTGTGCCCTCTCTGGTGGCAGGTGGAAGTCCACAGACTCTTCAGCCGGTATCCAGCAGTCACGTGGCTAAAGCTCCCAGTCTGACCTTCGCTTCCCCCGCCAGTCCTGTCTGCGCATCAGACAGCACTCTCCATGGGTTAGAGAGCAACTCTCCCCTTTCACCACTGTCCGCTAATTATAGCTCACCTTTATGGGCTGCAGAGCACCTCTGCCGCAGCCCAGATATCTTTTCAGAGCAGCGGCAGAGCAAACATAGGCGCTTTCAGAATACCCTAGTAGTCCTACATAAATCTGGTTTGCTGGAGATCACTTTGAAAACCAAGGAGTTGATTCGTCAGAATCAGGCAACTCAGGTAGAACTAGACCAGCTAAAGGAGCAAACCCAGCTGTTTATAGAAGCCACCAAGAGCAGGGCCCCTCAGGCTTGGGCCAAGCTGCAGGCATCTTTAACACCTGGGTCCAGTAATACAGGCAGTGACCTAGAAGCATTCTCTGATCACCCAGCCATATAGCACAGAGGCATATTTTCCTGTTACTTGAGTGGTTCTTTTAGCTCATTTGCTGTTACCTACTCCTGTTTCCCAAAGCTTATGTAAGAGCTTTTCCTTCTAAACTTAAACTGTGTTGTGGTTCACTTAGGAAGCCACGTGCCAATACCTGGCTGCTGTCTTAACTCGTAGTCTGGGCACAGGATACATATGTCCCCGTCCCACTGAGGACCTCAGTTTGGGAGTGCCCTTGAGCCCCTTTTCCTTAGCCTGCAGGTGCTTCAATGGATCATGGGGCAAAGCAGGAGATGATTGTGTGGGGCTCTTCCTGCTGTCACCTCCCATCATCCCACTCTCTCACCAGGATCAAGGGTACAGTAACACGAATGAGCATACAGAGCAACACCTGTTGAGCCAGGGAGTAGGTGACACAAGGAAACCTTCATGGATCTTCCCTTGCCTGTCTTAGTCACAGAGAGAAATAAGAGGAGGTTGTTTGCATCCCACAAGGCATCGTACTAGTTGGGCGAGACCTAAAATTCCCTGGGCACAGGTTGCACCTGGGTGTGAGCACTTAATCACTCAACGCTTTGTTTTCTTACACTTGAAAATCAAGGGAAAGAGTAGTACCATCTGACTCCTACACTTTCATTACAAGTCAGATTTTTCTTAAACTAGCAGGCAAAAACAGTACTTCCAAATTTTAAGGTATGGAATGAATGCAGTACATCTGGAATTGTAGTCGATGAATTGCTTTTTTGACTTAGAAGCTGAAGAAAATAGACATAGCCGGCATATCTCATGGTCAGGAGCTGGACGATTCTGGTAACTTAGGCTTTTTTTCTCTCTTCTTTTGAAACAGTGTAACCTGTTTTATGTCTAAAAATCTTAAGGATAGTTTCAGTGGTTCCTGGGATGTAGTATAAGTTAACTCTGCTGCCATCTTGTTTTTTTTTTTTTTCCTTTATTTTGATAAGTGATTATTATGCTTGATAAACTTTGAATTAAATACAGTTGTCTTGAGGGTATGATAAGTCCACAAAAAATTGGAAAGCATCTTACCCATTTTCTTCACATCCCAAATTTTTATTTGTTCCATGTCATAGTGATGGGAAGCAGTTACAGAGCAGCGTCTTCTGTGTTTCCTTCATGTGTTAGATATTGGCAACAAAGCCAGAGGTGTAATGTTGGTTATATGAAGTTCATCTCAAAATGGAGACCATGACCAGAGTTTCCAGATGATACACGTTCTTTTCAGCTTCATTAAATAGGCAACTATGTTTCTAAATAGTAAAGTTTCAAAATATTCTCTCAATTTAAAATTTCATCCTCTTGAAAATCTTTGTTCTTTACAAAATTATCTTAATAAGTTCTATATGGTCAGCTTCATCTTCCTTTTTTTTTTTTTTGAGATGGAGTTTCGCTCTTGTTGCCCAGGCGGAGTACAATGGTGGGATCTCGGCTCACTGCAACCTCCGCCTCCTGGGTTCAAGTGATTCTCCTGCCACAGCCTCCCAAGTAGCTGGGATTACAGGTGCCTGCCACCATGCCCAGCTAATTTTTGTATTTTTAGTAGAAATGGGGTTTTACCGTGTTGGCCAGGCTGGTCTCGAACTCCTGACCTCAGTTGATCCGCCTGCCTCAGCCTCCCAAAGTGCTGGGCTTACAGGCCTGAGCCACCACGCTCAGCTCAGCTTCACCCTGTCTGCAAAGAAAAGTTTTACCAAGACCAGAAGTTAAATATGACATTTCCTAGGTAGTTGTAACTCTAACATAGTTTAAAAAGTATGTGGCTTCAGATTGCCTATACTTTGTTCACAAACGTGTGATTTAGATATGACTGATGTAGAAGTGAACAACTTGGTAACATCCCTAGACTCCACTCATGAACGCAGAATTATTACCTGCTGTTTGCTTTCTGAAAGAATTTCAGAAATCAGAGCAAATGTGTCTTTAGGCAGATTCAGCTCCTTTTAATATTTTTCTCTTGGCCCACTCTCTTTGCTTCCCCTGAATCTGTGTGGTACTATAGCAGCTCTACTCTGTGCACCATGCTAGGAAGCTTCCTTTTTGGCAGAATATGTTTGGCAGCAAAGCTATAGAGACAGGTGCATTCAGAACATCCTGGGCACCAGTCATGAGTCTTACTGTGTCAAAAATCTGAAAACACTTGCTGAGAACCAAATTTATTCCATTGGAAAAACCCTCTGTGGAGCTATAAGCCTCTTGGACTCTTCTTCCTAGATTAAGGCTTGCATTTCCCTCCCTGTTTCAGTAAAAGATGATGAAAGCCACTATCAATCCTCACTGCTGAGTGGCAGGGAGAAGCAGCACCACTCTCAGCTCTTTTCTAATCTTGTAACTTAGTGCTAGAAGTCTCTCCAGGCTATTACCATGGGCATTTGTTCTCTGTTGGAGCTGTAAGCAGATGAACCCAAGTAGAGAAGATAGATCTTGGAAGGAGAGATCCATTGAGTCCAGAAGCCAGATCAGCAAATGGAGGAACCTCGGAGGTGACCAGAAAGATCTCCATCGGTTGCCCAAGGCTGTAAGTAGTGATGGTTTTAGCGATGAATAACGTAATTGGCTATGAAGTACTGTGGCAGAGCTGCTGTTTTCTGAAGGTGAGAAGCCATTTTTAGCTCAGAGCAACCCTTAAGAGAACTTTTGGCAGATTTTGTTGGCATTATTGAAATATATATAGAAAAGTTGCTGATTGCAATGGTTATGGGAATGGAATTTAATGACATTTGTAATTTATTACACTCATTGGTTTTTATTGATTATAGTATTGTCTGACTTTTTATTTTCTACTATGGTTCCTTTAGCAGAAAAGTAACTTTTGTGCATATATTGAAGTGGTTTTTCAGCTATGAATTCTTTAGGGTAGAAATTTATTTAGCAAATGTGAATTCTTTTGAGAAAGTATGAAGTTTTGCAGAAATTGACTGTGAAATGTCAGAGAAAAATAAAAGTCACTTACTTGAAACCTATTTGGCCTTTTTGCTTTATAACTGCTTAAAAATACTGAGTGAACCTGGAGTAAATATTTGAACTGATTTAAATGTTAAACATAGGTACTCATGTTATTTGGGAATATTGGGATTAGACACTGAACATGTGGAAATTCATTGCTCAGATTTTCACTGGTGTGAACTTGAAATATGAGTAGCCTTATGGCAAATGAGTAGTCCCCTGTTTTCTGGAGCCTTGGAGGCTTATACTGGGCAGGTTGGGAGGAGTGAGAGGTGAAGATAGTCCAGTGATTTCTTCCATCTGATTGACACTTTCACAAATAGAACTTTTAAGTGACAAAGCTACTATAATTGTATACCGGGATAAACTAAAGCCACAGTAAGCGAAGTTTTTTCTACAGCACAGTGGTCCTTAGCAAGCACACCTCCATGCCTTCCCCTTTGCCTCCTCAAGCCTTGCTCCTTGTCAGGGTTCACCTAGAAGATCTCAACAGGGAGACATGTGGAGTCCTCCCTGTTTCCCAGGCCAGTCAGGAGCCCCTTTCTGGGATCTTTAAGACACTGGGGAAATGAAAAGCTGACCTCACTAAAAGCCTGGAGGGTTGTCATAGTCGAATTCTTCTAGTATTATTTCTGTCCTATACAATTGTCTAAGTGGCTTTTTAAAATGTAGCTGTAAGGCCACTAGTAAGAAACAAAAAATAGGTAAATATGGCTAGAGAAGGTCCCTTCTGAAATAAAGAGAACCATCCTTCCTTAAGAAGTGGAATCCAGAGAAGGGAGGGAGCACAAAAATTTGAGCCTCAGAGGCTCAAGAGAACCCAGTTATTTGCGTTTGCAGCTCCTCACCCCTGGGCGTGATTCCTGTATGTGGAAACGCTTGCCCCTTAGGACGGCCTGTTTGCAAACATGTTTCATCCACATTTTTTTATGGCATCCCTGCAGATTGTAGCCTGGTGTGATGGGGTCTAAAGACCTACATTCACATGTCATATCTACTACTCATTGACTCAGTGACTTTGGATAAGTCACTTAACCTCTCTCTAGATGTCACTCTTCTCAGCTGAATGATGAAGAATTTGAATTAGTTACCTTGAAGTTTAATCGCAGTGCTAACCTTTGTAAGATCTATAGTTGTGTTACAGGTGAGCCATAGAATTAATAGATTAATTTTTTTTTTTAACGGAGTCTTGCTCTTGTCGTCCAGGCTGGAGTGCAATGGCATGATTTCGGCTCACTGCAACCTCTGCCTCCTGGGTTCAAGCGATTCTCTTGCATCAGCCTCCCAAGTAGCTGGGATTATAGGCGTGTGCCACCACGCCCAGCTAGTTTTTGTATTTTTAGTAGAGATGGGGTTTCACCATGTTGGCCAGGCTGGTCTCGAATTCCTGAGAATTTTGGCAGGGTGATCCACCCGCCTCGGCCTCCCAAAGTGCTGGGATTACAGGCGTGAGCCACCGCACCCAGGTGCTTAAATTTTTTAAAACATGGGGTGCTTAGAAAAGAGGTTCTGAGGGCCTCCAGTAAGATGGTTTTATAGTACGGTGTTCTGTCAGATTTTTAACTTCTTTGTATGGAACTCTGGGAGAAGCTCTTTGCCAGTCTGCATTGGTGTTGCCTTTCATATGATTATCTTGTTGCAGCTAATGTGGATTTACTACCTCCCATGTAAAAACCTGGTCTCAAAGAATTCTTACTGGCCCAAAAGGAGAATGATTTGGGGTTAAATCAGATCATCTCCTTTTCTGGTCAGCCATCTGCAAACAGCCCTTTCATTTCATTTGAGATGAAGAAGGTAACTTTTGTATTTGGGAGAGTGTTAGTTAGCTTATTTCCTTTCAGACTTCTCTCTGCACAACCAGGGATGATGTTTCTTCGTTTTTTTTTTTTTTTTTTTTTTGAATCGGAGTCTCGCTCTGTTGCCCAGGCTGAAGTGCAGTGGCGCTGTCTCGGCTCACTGCAAGCTCTACCTCCCGGGTTCACACCATTCTCCTGCCTCAGCCTCCTCAGCCAGGATTACAGGTGCCCACCACCATGCCCGCTAATTTTTTTTTTTTTTGTATTTTTAGTAGAGACGGGGTTTCACCGTGTTAACCAGGATGGTCTTGATCTCCTGACCCCGTGATCCGCCCACCTCAGCCTCCCAAAGTGTTGGGATTACAGGCATGAGCCACCGTGCCTGGCCTCTTCATGTGTTTTAAGGAACAATTTGGGGCTGCGTGCAGTGGCTCATGCCTGTAATCCCAGCACTTCAGGAGGCCGAGGTGGATGGATTGCTTGAGCCTAGGACTTTGAGATCAGCCTGGGCAACATGGCGAAACCCTGTCTCTCTAAAAAATACAAAAATTAGCTGGGTGTGGTGGCACACACCTGTAGTCCCAGCTACTCTGGAGGCTGAGGTGGGAGGATCACTTGAGCCCAGGAGGCGGAGGTTGCAGTGAATCAAAATCATGCCACTGCATTCCAGTCTGGGTGACAAAAACCCTGTCTCACAAAAAAGCCAAACGAAAAACAGAACCACTTGGGTTGATTTAACATTATTTTCACTGTCACTAGTCAGAGATGACATAGATGCAGTGATACTTTGTGAGGTCTTTATTCTGGTCCAAGCCTTTTGGGTCAACCTTTCATCTACACCAGAAGAGAGATTAGAGATGAGAAGTCTGCCTGGGTGACACAGCACAATCAGAATCCCTGAGAGAAAGAGGCAGAAGAAAACAACGACTGTGCCCTAGCTCCTGCAGCCTTTACCTCTGCTACGTCAGTTTCCTTTATCAAAAGAGGAGGGGCATAATCCTCGCTATGCACTTGACATCCTGAGATGAAGGTGCAACGCAAAAAAGTGATGTCTCAAAAGTGTTTTAAAACTGCTCTACGGAGCAAGGCAGCCTCGCCGCTCACAGACCCAGTGATGGAATTCAAGTGATGGCATTCAGCCCCTTCAGGGTTGTGACTGCTTGGGATAATTAAGACTGTCTTCTACCAAAATCTCATTTACAGTGAATGAGAGGAGAGAAAATATCAACCCAGGATGGTTACTCTTTGACTGGCTTCCTGGAAGGAGCTGTTCTGTGGGTCCATGTGTGACCATTTTGGTTTTTTCCTCTCAGAATCCTTCCTTTATTTTCTTTCTTTTTACTTTTTTTTTTTTTTTTTTTTGAGACGGAGTTTCACTCATGTTGCCCAGGCTGGAGTGCAATGGTGCAATCTCGGCTCATGGCAACCTCCACCTCCCGGGTTCAAGCGATTCTCCTGCCTCAGCCTCCTGGGTAGCTGTGATTACAGGCATGTGCCACCACGCCCGGCTAATTTTGTATTTTTAGTAGAGATGGGGTTTCTCCATGTTGGTCAGGCTGGTCTCGAACTCCCAACCTCAGGTGATCCGCCCACCTCAGCCTCCCAAAGTGCTGGGATTACAGACATGAGCCACCGTGCCTGGCCCCCCTTTATTCTTAAAACACATGGCTTTCCTATCTCTTTCTAAAGGATGGTTATGCAAGACAGAATTGCTTGAAAGAACAGTCTGTATGGTTCCTGCCTTAAATTACAGCAGCTGGAGGAGATGAGTTGAGCAAAAAAGCAAGAAGGGCCCATAGAATATGAAGATAACCCAGGGAGTGGGAGGAAGCTGTTAGAATATGAAGGAGAATGAAAACCGAAAGTGGGATCCTGCGGCCAGCCCTTGTGAGGGCCCTGGCAGGTGGAGTGATTATTATCCTTCCAGCAAGGCAGTCAGAGTGGCTGGAGAGCATGAGAGTAAAAATAGCTGCCGTTACATTTCCTACAGACTCACTAGATCCCAAAAATTGCAGTGGCCTTGGAAGCATGTTTGTTCATCCTGGTGTCTTTATAACAGAAGAGAGCAAAGGCCTCCATTCTCTGGGGACAGCCCACAAAGCCCCTGCCTGCTGGGTGGACAGATGGGAGCGCTTGGCATGGGGCCTGCCCTTCATTTGAGGGTGAGAGTGAAAAACCAGAAGCCCTGAAAAATCAAGACCTGCCACCACTTGTAGATGGTAAACCACAATAATCATGTCTCTACAGAGAGCTGGGTTGAAATTATCATCTCCACTCAACCCTTGCACAAGTGAGTACATTGCCCAGTCAGGGGAAGAGAAGAAGCCTAAAGAAGTTACACACAAATGGAGCACCACAACCTCAACGAGTCCTGCATTGTCTTCAAAAATGGCAGGAAAACTTGGCCCCAGAAGCCTGGTGGTCCTGCTGGTTAACATTTCATTCTGCTTCCCCTCTGAGCTCCAGCAAGGTTTCTGGGCCTCTCCTCTCATCACTGGGCTGCTCAGGAAATGCAAATGAGTTTCACTTCAGCAAAACACAGAGAAAGGGCAGTGAACCGTCACAACAAACAGCCCCGGATACCCACAGCCCGACAAAACAGTGACAGGCATGGTTTAGACTGTGTGTTTTCAATAATGGTCCCCTGGGCTCTCACAGGCCGAGAGAGTGAACTTCAAGGTGAAAGCCTTTTATTTTTTTGAAAGGATATCCAAGTTGATGCTTGTCTTGGCAAGGTGTATTTAGAAGTATCATGCTTTCCAGCCTGTGCTGATTTTATTCTTGAAGCATTTTATAAACATCAATTGTGCCGTGAAGCTCCTAGCTAGTAAATTACTAACATTGCTGATTGTACTAGTCAGGTTGGGCTGCAGTGACAATGTCACTTCTGCTCAGCCCGTGGCCAAGACTGGCTCCTGGCCCCACCAGTTGCATGGGGATCAGGACATGTGGGACAGTATGCACTGAATGATTTAAAAAAAAAAAAGTCAACATGGCAGAAATATTTAATTCAAGGGAAAAAAAGGTTCTTGGACCCACAGGATCAGAGGTGAGCAGGCACCAGTCAACACAAGGCCACAGGTCAGCCCTGGGGTAGGTCCCACTTTGGGGACCTTTAAAAATCCTCAAAAACATGGTCCTTGTCACTCAGATTTTCACACCTTTCCTCCCAAAATTGTATTCCAAAACCCGAACATTTCTCCTTCTTCTGAAAGTATTAATGATTCCTGCAGCTTACCTGACCAAAGCATTGTCATTATTATTTCAAGGAAACACATTTTCAACACGTTTATGTCCCAGCTGCTGACTGAGCTGTGGATATAAAATGGTGGCTAAAACAGACCTGGTCCCTCCTTCTAGTCTTGTGGGAGGTAGCAATGACAATCAGTTAGTCAATTGCCCCTTTGACAGTTTTGGTCTCTGTAGGTCTTAAACATCCAAAGCTGGGTGCGTAAGCCTAGACAAGGTGATATGTCCTACTCATTTCAAAGATAATGCTTTAATAACCTTTGGGGTTAGCACCCTTTGATTAGGGCAAGAGTCCTTAATATGAAACTATAAGTCCACCCCAACACACCCAAGCACACTAGGAGGGAGTTAGCAGCAGCAGATTATCCCGTTGAGCGACCCACCTTCAGACTTCTGAGCTCACCCACAACAACAGCACCTGCATCTGCTTTCCCCAGCTGCCGCCAGCATAAGCATACACATGACCCCTTGCTTGACTTACCCTAGTCCTGGCTCTGGCTGCAACAAACAGTTGTTGAGGCCCAGGTCTATAGAAAGATACATGTGGTCCCTGGCCTTGGAGCCTAGGCATCTGAGCCAGGAGTCATGACCCACAGGAAAAGTAGTGACGCAAGGTTGTGCCTGGTGCCCAAGGAAAATCACAGACCAGAGCTGCAGGAGCTCCCTGAGACCTTGAGAGGAACTCACGATGATTGAGATCTAAGTAGTGATTGAGATCTCAGCCTTGGCATAGGGTAGAGCTTCCATAAGCTGTCCGTGCCTGGTCAGCCATTTGCAAACAGCCCTTTCATTTGAGATGAAGAACACAACTTTTAGGGATTATTTCAGTTACATAGAGACAACATAGGAGAGCAGTAATGTGAGCAGAGGGGTTTTAAGGGAGTTCACCTGATACAGGTATAGAGAGGAAGGGGAATAGCGTTTTAGCCAAAGGAAAGAGCAGGAGTACAGACATCTTGGTGAGATGGAAATATCATGGCTTTAGATCTTGATCTGGTCTCTGTGTGATCCTAGCAAGTTATATAACCTCTCTGCACCTTGTTTCCTCATTTGTTAAGTTACCGTCAACTCTGAAATATTGTTGTGCCTTAATGTACAGTATATAGTACAGTGGCCTCACATGGTGGGTGCTCAGTAAACAATAATAAGATTGCTACTGCAAGTGAATTGTGCCATTCCAAGAACAAGGACTGGGCTCTCTGAGCTGGCTTCAGTCCAAGGCCAGCCTTCCACTTTGTACATACAGGCAGTGGCCAGCAAAACAACCCAGCTCCCTGCCTACCTCTGGCACCCTGCTGCACCCAGAACAGAGCCCCTCCTTTGCACACACCCTGCAGAATACCTGCCAAGCATGCGCTCCAGCTCTCCCCAGCCTGTCCCAGTCCTCACCCTCCTTTAGAGTTATACAGCTGGTGGGTGGGGAGCTATGGAGGAATCAGCCCTACCCTAGCCAGATCCAGCCTCCTAGCTGGCCCAGCCTCCTAGCTGGTGACTCAGCCTCCAGGCTCCTGCACAATCTGTCCTCCACACCTGCATCAGGTGAACTTCCTCAAACCTCTGCTCACTTACTGCCTTCCTCGGACACCTCCCCTATAGCGGTTCTAGCCTTGACTGTGTAGCAGAAACCTCTAGGGAGCTTTGAACATGCACAGGTCACATCCCAGACCTGTCAGACTCTGGGGAAAAGACCTGCCTTCCCCCACCCCCATGGATATTCTCTAAAGCTCCTCAGGGGATTGCAGATAGGCAGACAAAGCTGGGAATAATTGCAGTGGGTCCCTTGTGGGGGATTGGACTTGGGGCTGGGGTGAGGAGGCGTGGGGACCAGTTCCACACAGCGAAGTAACTGTCATCTGCAGTATCGCCAACACCTGGGAGCCTATGAGAAATGCAGAGTCACAGGCCCTGCTGATTCAGAATCTACATTTTACCAAAGTCCCCAGTGTTTCCCCGCACTGTCGAGTTTCATTAACACTGGCACCAGCTTTTACTAATTGCTCACGGTGCTCCAAGTGCACAGCCAGGTGTTTTACACACACCATCTCATTTAATCCTCACACCCCTCAGCTATGAGCACCCCCTTTGACAAACAAGGAAAAATCTGCCGTTCCTTCAACAAATCCTTCCTGAGCACCCACGTGCGAGGCTCTGTGCTAGAGACTGAGAATGAAAAACGGGCGCTCCCCTGCTGGGGAAGAGCTCAGAAGCCAATGGGATGTGGATTTCAATGTCTTCCCAGCTGTGTGTTCCTGGGCGACTTTCTCAGCCTCTCTGAGCTCGTTTCCTTTTCCTCTTCCGCCGAACAGGGCTAAAAATCACACCGCACAGGGCTTGGTGCCTTCCCTAAGCTAAGTACTCACTCACCAGGCCTGGTTCTAGCGGGAGCTCAGGAATGGTCGCTATTGTGACAAATAGAAAACCCGCCAGGAGACAGAGAGGAGGTGGGTCCCTGGACCGCGGTGGCACATGAGGGCTAAGAACCTCCCAGGAGGGGCTGGGCTCGGAGCGCGCTCTCGGAGACGCGGTGATGCGCGGGGCCCGGGCCGTGGACAAGACTGCAGTGTCCTGCACTACCTGCCGCCCACTCATCAGGCCGATTCTCCTCACCTTACGCTTAGATGAGTTTCGAGTAAGACCACTGCTGGCATCAAGAGTCTGGGCCCATGATCTCGCCCTTTCGGGCTAGGCGAGGCAGACCCAGGTTGGCTGCGGCCCGCGGTCCCCGCGCAGCCAACACTGGCAGCCAAGCGCGGGGCGCGCGCGCCGGGAGAGTGGAGCGCGGAGGCCCGACGGCGCCCCCTCCCGGCGGGCCCGAGCCACGGCCGCGGGCTCTGGCGGGTGCCGGGGAGGCCACGCGCGACGGCGTCGCAGCCGGAGCCCAGACAGACGCCCCACGCTGCGCGGCCTTCATCCCACGGCTGGGGCGATGGAAAGGTGGTCCCGACACGCGCAGGGGTCTGAGGAATCGGCTTCGGGATTCTGTGGTCTTTGTGGTCCGCAGCCGGCACCACTGCTTCCTGTAATTTAATTTTCTCTCCCGAAAGCGTTGCTAATTAAATCCTTTCTCCGGCGAGCCGTCGCCCCCCGCCCCTGCTAGTCTGTTTATTAAGTACCCGGCACCTGCGAGGGAATTTTTGCCCTCGGCGGCCGGCGGGTCAGGTGGAGGGGCCGCGCTGCCCCTTAGCTGCGCCTCCTGGCTTCCTTCCCCAGGTCTCCTCCCTCTCTTTCCACCTGGAACAAGACAGCAATCCTTGAGGTCTTTGAGCAAACGCAAGAACCGTCCTTCTCCTGCTGCTGGTGACCTCTGCTGCTTGGGGCATCCAATTCATGTCAGTTCCCCTCCCCTGTCTTTCCAGCTGTTCAGTCGTATTCCCACTTCCCACCACCATCTCCCCGCACCGCACGCTGGCCACGTGGAAGGTTTGCGGAATGGGGCCCAGGGGCTTGTGGAAGGTCACGCAGCCCATCCAGGGCACAGTCGGAACTAAAACTGAGCCCTCTTGAAGCTTGGCTTTCAGGGGTCACAAACTCAAAGCCTTCAGGGGCCAGATAGCCAAGGGTAGAGTGTGGGGTGGCTCTGGGTTGGGCAATGGTTGGGGGAGTCTGTGGCAAAGTAAAAGGTATGTGCCCCATTGAGGGCCAGGTGTGTGCAATCCTCGCCAAGTCTAAGAGCGAGTCCAGTGTTCACGGAGGGCAGTGACCCGCCCAGGGTCACGCAGGGATTCAGAACCACTGGGTACTCCGGGTTCACAGTGTGATCTTTCCAGGATGCCACTTACTGACTGAGGACTTGGGAGCAGTCCTGCTCAGTCCTGCACCCCAGCCACCTCAGTCCTTGCCCCTCTGGCCTGCCCTGCCCAGGGTCACCACATCCCGCAGGGCCTCCTTCCCCACAGAGTACCTCACACCTTGGGCACCACTCTCCCCTCCCCTCTACCTAAAATCACCCCTTCAGACAGCTTCTGGCCACATCGCAGCTGTCAATCAGAAAAAGAAGGCAGCCTCATTTCAAGGTATTTGGTGGCAAATACCTCCCAGAATTTGAAACAAAGGGCCTGGGGAGCCAAAATACTATTTTGAAGGACACATTCATGGTAGGGGAATTTCAGGCATCACAAGCCAGCCAGAAAGGGGTATTTGGGGACAGGAAGGCTGGGGAGAAGCCCACACAGAGGACTGCCTCTTTGGAAGGCCTCAGCGCCAGCTCTGCTCCTCTCTGAGTTCCAGGTCAGCCCCCTGGTCCCCTCCTACACAGCTTTTTGGCCTTCCATGGGGGTACCCTCACATACAACCCCACTTCAGTAGCTGTCTGTTGCCCTCTCTGGAGAGTTTTTCCTCTGTCATAGACAGGCTCTGCAGGTGTTTTCCTCCTCACACCCTACTTTCATTTTAGAGTCTTTGGTGGCTCCGTGTCCTGGTCTGCAAGGATGGGGGTAGAAGTGTGCTGGGCTGTGCTTGGCCCTCTGCCAGGGTCTGGTTCCCTCCTGCAGGTACCCCAACACCGCCTGGGAGGACTGCCATCTAGAAAGAGCTTGGGCGTTTTCCCTGACTAGGTATCATCCTTGAGCCTCAGCCCTGACTGTCCTTAGACAGTAACCTCCACTGATGCTCTGCCCTGGAAGAAGTATTTTCATCCAGGGCAATCTGCCCATAATCCTTAGCTGGGAAAGATCTAGGGACCCCCATTTTCCCGGCAAAGTCACCATAAGCAGTTGACTGTTAGCTCTGCAAGGCACAAGCTGAGCCTACTTCCTTTCTCTGTATCCACCCGTGCCTGTTACATAGTAGGTGCTCAATAAACATGTTGAATGAACAGATCAATGAATGAATGAGTAGAAACTTGGCTCCTTGTTAATTTTCAGCAGGGAATGTATTGTGTGTCTGTAATATTCCACAATGGAAAGACAGTCTAGTGCTGTGTTAAATAGACCTTGGAGCAGGCAGCCTGGGTTTGAATCCTGGCTCTGCCACATACTAGCTTCAGGCTTTGGGCAAATTACACAACCTCTCTGTGCCTTTATTTATTTATTTTTTTACCTGGAACGTCAGGGTTATAATAAAACATACCTTGTAGGATTGCTATGAGGAATACATGAGTTAATACAGATAAAGTGTGTACAGGACAAGCACCTGGCATGTAGGGAAGGCTCAGCAAATCTTGGTCATTGTTACCAGCAGTAGAATGACTGTATCAACAATGTTAGTGTCCTACACCATGCTAGGGACAGGGGGAAACTAAAGGATTCCACCATCTCCATTTCTGCTTTCCAAGGGCATGCAGTAGTTAGGAGACAAAACCTACAGGAGAGAGTAAGAGTGACAGAGAGCTGCCAACAGTAGTGGGAGTTTGAAATAGAAGGTTTCCAGGGGGCTGGACCAATTGAAGAAAGGTCCTATGGAGAAGTGCGATGTGGAGGAGGGGCTGGGAGGGGCCTAGGCTAAAGGAGGAGGCATGCTGGGGCCACCAGGTTACAGGATGTGGGGAGGTGCCCACCAGGGTGCAGAGGTCCACGCAGAGAGCTGCCTTGCCAGTCCAGATGGGGCACTGTACATAACAAAAGGTCACTGCTTACATCTCAGGGTTCCAGCCTTTCCAGTTCTATTGTAAGTCCTGGAAGCCATCTTGCTAGGAATGGTGTCCTTCCAATGCCATTTGCTGAGGCTGTGCAGGAAGGCAAGAGTGATGGGGAGCTCCCAGAGACCCCTCTTTGGGCCCAGAGAAGACTAGGAATCTCTGATGTTCCCAGGTGAGCTCTAGCATCTTTGGGCTGATTCTCTGGAAAATGAACTTAACCTTCTACCTTTGATCGCCAACCTGGAGACTTGCGGATCCTTTAGAAAAACTAGACATCAGTTCATGCTTGACTCATCCAAACGGACACCATGAGCTGGTGTGAGTTAGGGTTTTCTAAGAAGTGATCAGAGGAAGGAGGCAGGGTCCATGGGGAGCGTGGCCTGAGGACAAACCTGCAGTTGTGGCTGCAGGTATGTGCTCACATCCCACCATTCCTAAATGCAGACTTGCAATTCCCAGAAACCACCTGGTATCTCTGCCTCTGTATAGTCCCTCCTACCTCCACTCCCACCCACAGCCCTGCTTTTCTGCCTGGCCCCCTCCTATTCATCCTGCATGACCCAGATGTTGCCTTTTCTGGGAAGCCTTCAGGTCCGCCCTGGTAAAGTAAGTGCTCTCCGCCAGGCTTCTGTAGCACCCTGTCCTCCCATCGGCACTTTCATGCCACTGAATCACAACCATCTGCAATTTGTTCTCTTCCTAGTGAGCTCCCTGAGATCAGGTACTGGGTCTCTTTCATCTTTGCATTCCTGGTTCTTGGCATCATGCCTGGCATAGAGTCAGCATCGATGAATGTTTTTGAAGAATGAGTGGAGGAGCTGGGCCAGTACCATGAATAGAGAGGGGAATGAGAGCAGAAGCAGAGGCCAACACCAGGAGCAACTGAGCTACTCCCAGACACCTCCCGCCCCCACCAGCAGGCTCACTGTGGCTGGTGAGCAGGCCCAAGGTTCTGCCTCATCTTTAACGTGTCTCAGATAAGTTAGGAGAAATGCCTCCTCTCTCCCTGCCCATCCTTCCTTTTCTTCCT
Organism: Homo sapiens; assembly: GCF_000001405.40. Taxonomy (NCBI): domain Eukaryota; kingdom Metazoa; phylum Chordata; class Mammalia; order Primates; family Hominidae; genus Homo; species Homo sapiens. The sequence goes on from NC_000014.9 coordinate 77,128,921, forward strand.
GGCAGGAGGGGCTGCTTCCCAAGCATCCCCGAGGGCATGCTGAGAGGCAGGGCAGGAGGGAGATGAGGGGGAATCTCATGAGCAATGAGGCCAGTTGGAGGACACTGGGTACAGACAAAAGCCACAGTATTTGGAGGACCAAATGCATGGACAGTAACAAGGACAGTCATCTTCCTAAGGAGAAAGACTGGCTAACAGATGGTCCCTGGGACCTAAGGACTGACTTGTTACAGTGGAGGGGGACCTGGGTTGAAGTCTCCTCAAGTTTGTTGTCTTTCCAAAACTCCTTGGGTTCCTGGAGCTTAGAGTGAGGCAGTTCCTGCCTTGCCTAATCTGACACTAGGGCATGGGTCAAAGCAGAGTGTACCCACTTTCTGGATGGAAAGCATCTCACTCCAGCACATGGGCCTGAGGACCCATGATCTCTATTGGCACTGACAGATGATTCTACCCCTGCTGTGGGAGTCAGAGAGCTGTGCTGTAAAGAATGACTGGCAGATGTCCCTGAACCCCTTCCTCCATGGACGCAGAGTGGTTAGTTAAGAATGACACCATCAACTGCCATCTGACGGGCCAACGACAGAGGCTAGTGCATGAGATGGCCCTGAACCCTAGTGTCACAATCTTTTCCACCCCAATCCTCCTAACAATCACCCCGTTTTCACCTTCAGGGCCATCTTGGGCCCCCTCCCTAGCATTCCTCTACTCATGCTCCATGTCTGTGAAGTGCCTCTGATATCTTTCCCCTCTTTACCATCCCACAACCACTATCCCCACCCGGATCCCGGTTACATCTCACTGAGATATAGTACATGCCTCTTACCAGGTCCCTCAACCTCCAGTTTCTCCCACTTCCAGTCTATCCTCCAAGGCTGCGCTTTCTGAAATCTACCTCTGATCATGCTGCTCTCTTGCTCAGAACTTTCAGTGGTTCCCTATTGCCTGTCAAATGCCCTCCAGGTCCCTTAGCTTGGCATTCAGAGCCCTCTCTGCTTGGGTCCCTACTCTCAGCCTTAACCTCCTCTGCCTCTTTGTGATATCCCTTATACCCCAAGGCCCAGGCCTGTTCTCTGTCCCTGGAAAGCCCTCCCTGTCCCTCTTTGCCTGCTGAAATCTCATCCATCTTTCCAGGCCCCGTATCATGGAAAGGCCCCAGACCTAGCAGCAGAATGTGCTCTCTCCCTCCTCTGAGCACTCCCAGAAACCTCTGCCAGAATGGGAACTCCTCGAAGAGAGAGTGGTCTCATCTGTTTTCTAGCCCCACGATGTGCAAAGTGCAGTCCTGGGTCCAGCATGGGAATAAGAGATGTGGAGTAAGCATGTGAGCGCTAAATCTGCATCATTCAGGCAATATTCATTGAGCACCTACTGTGTGCCTAGCCCCTGCTACGCATCAAGGATATGACAGTGACCAAGGCAAGTGTGGTGCCTGCCCCATGGAGTGTAGGCAGCCCATGTTCTAGAATGTGCTGAGGATTCACCACAGCTCCATTCACCCAGCACCTGCAGCAAAGCTGTTCGCCTGTTGGTGTGTGTTCAGGGAACATACACCACCATGACACTCGGCTAGGCTGAGGGTTCTGCAACAGCTCTTTGCAGTTGTATCCTTCCTCAGTCCAGGCCTTGTGTCTTTAGGATGAATCAGAGGCCTTGCTCATTCGTCTGCTCAGGGCCCACTGCCTGAAAGGCTCAACACCCTCCCAACTGTCCCCAGGGCTGGGAAGCCTGAGACCTCCAGATGTTGCAGGGCCTGAGAGGGCAGGGGGCCTGACTGATCCCTAGGAGAAGCTGGCTCTGTCTGTGGAGGAGCAGCAGAGGGACTCTCTTCACTCTTTTCCTCACCTGTCTTCTGATATGGGGAGGAGAGGGAGAGGAGGAGAAAGAATGGAAGGAGAAGGAGGAAAAGGGAAGTTCCTAGGTAAGATATTCCATCTCTGGTCCCTGTGGGTCCATGGACCCCAGCACTGAAGCCTCTGGTTACCAACCCAGCACTGAAGCCTCTGGTTACCAACCAGAGGTGACACCTATTTAGCACCACACAGCCCAGCCCTGACAAATCACAATGGACTCTGACTGAGGGCTGCAGCAGGGCTGGGGGGCCCCATGCATGTGCCAGGAATGATCACTTTAGTTGCTGGATTGTGGAGTGAATCCAGGGTCCCCAGGGAGGAGCAGGGGCAGAAGGGGTAGGATACTCAGAGAATCTGAGCCATGGTTGTTTACCAACTTTCTTAGTTGTAAGAATTTCTTAGTATTTTCAATACTTATTTTAAATATTTGAATAGCTAGTATGGCTGCATCAGTACAGTCCAGCCCTGCTACCAACAGTGCCCATACAATCATATCAAATCCAATTTAAAACCATATATTTTATTGATGTTCTTCAAGGACAATACAGGGCCATGTGTACAAATGCTACTCAAGTCTCACATCTGGCAACCTCCCCACCGTCATCCCCCATTGACCAGTCTGCAAGCAGCCAACATCCTGTAGGTCTCCCTGTTGCCCTTCCCCAGGATGTCAGGCCTCACCGTGCTGAGCCTTCAGGAGGCTGGAAATAGCAGGGCTGGCTTCTAAGCTTGAGCTCTGGAGCCAGGAAAGAGTCAAGGCCAAAATTGCCCAGATCTTCCCCTCCTCCCTCTCCCTCCCATTGCTTAAGTATGGCCAGAATTGTGGGTGAAAATGCCCCCAGCGACTCCTCCATTGAGGCAGCCTAGGCTTCCCCTCTTCAGCCATCTCTATCACATTCTTTATTTCCAAATGACCTGCCCCACCAACCACCAAGATGGCAGAGTGACCATTTTGCAGGGAGTGTGAATCAGTGCACAGACGGCAGTGACAAGGTGCCCCTGATGGCATGAATCTTGTCATCCTGTTCATCACTGCATTGCCAGTGCCTGGAAGAGGCTGGGAACGTAGTTGGCACTCAATAAATATACGTAGGATGGATGAGTGAAGGAATGAGTATGGGAGGGAGAAATGTGAGCAGGTGGAGCCAATACTACATTAGCTCTCTAGGGGGTGTGAAGGCAGAACCACAGTAAAGTCCTCCCAATCTCTGCTCAAGAACCCAGGCTGTTGCGCAGCTATCAGCGGGTCACTGCAGTTGGCGGTTGGACATTGCAGGGCATGGATTCAGCACTGCTGCCTGCATGGATGTCATATTGGCTTTGGGACCCAGTCAGGAGGGGGCACTTGTGTTGTCCCTACTCCCTTATATGCCCCAGAGGTCTGGTCCTCTAGGTTTCAGAAAACACACAGCAGTGCCTCCACCGGAGTCAGTCAGATGCGCAGGGATGGTCTGGGAATTGCACCCTTATATTCTGGTCATCTCCACTCCTCAGCCTTAGCTCACCACTGCCCCCCATGCCCTGCCACTGACAATGACACTGCTCCATCTCCCTGTCCTCAAATGTCAGTCCCCTCAACCACCCAGGTAGCCCTGTCTCTGCAGAGACTCTCTCTTCAGTGGCTGGGTTGGGTCCTGATTTTCAGACCCCTCCCATGCCCACACTCCCCTCTAGGAAAGCAAATATCTCACAGGCATCTCTGCAGATCTTGCCTCTGGGTCCAGCAATCACAACCAGGACATCAGAACCTTGGGGTTGGAAGGAATGTGTAAGCTCACCTAGAATGACCCTGTACAGAAATCCCTTCCACAGCATGCCTGGCAGACGACTGCCTAGACTCTGCTGGAATACCTCCAGTGATGGGGCACTCACTACCTTCACAGGCAGCCATTCAAACATTGAAGAGTTTCAGCTGCTGGAATGCCCTTTGTATAGGGCATAAATGAACCCAATTGTCCCTCTCACTTCTCCCTTTCCCCTAGGCATTATTCCTATATGTTTCTAACAACACTTCTCACCACCACCCATCTCTCTCTCTCTCTCTCTCACACACACACACACACACACACACACACTTCCATATGGTTATACAGTCGAATATCCCCTTCATTTATCAGTAATTATCTTTCCCTGTCCCTTCTTCCTTGCCTTCCCATCATCTGGCAAAGACCTGGGGGCTGGAGATCAAGTAGAAAGGCTGGAAGAGTTCCAGGGACAGGAAGCATCCAGCCAGGTCCTGGACTGGGCTGGGCCGGCCAGATGGGGCAGGGTGGACAGGGAATAACATTTGGAAAAAGCAGGCCATTGATTGCTGTCTCCCAGAAAAAGGGTCTTGAACCTGGTGGGGGGTGGTGAGGGAGCAGCAAGCTACTAAGTTCTTTTTCCTACAGAGGGGATGCGGACACACACCCACTCTTTCCCAACTCCCCTAGCAGTTGGCAGAGCTGACTTGGCTGCCTCTTACACGTGGTGATTTTAAACATTTGCCAGCCTCTAGGTCCCAGGGAGTCTCATACCAGCAGCAAGAATCCACTCCCCTCTCCCAACATGGGGGCTGAGAGGAAGGGCTCTAGCAGACAGCAGTGATGAATGAGACACGGTGGAGAATGGATGAGCCAGGAAGAGGGGGAAAGCAGGGATCCCAAGGGGACGGAAAGAAAGCAGAGGCAGCCTAACAGCTAGCAGCCACCTGGCTGGCTCGTGAGGAGCCTAGAAATGCCTGGGGGGACATTTTTCCTCCTTGTCATGATCCACCAGCTCACGCTGTTCTCATGGGTGGAAGGTGAGGGGAAGATGCTAGGACCTTACCAGCACAAGGTTGTAGTGAGTCATGGGTGGAGACAAGGCTGCCATGGTTTTATGCTCAGGAGGAGTCAAGACAGAGACAGAGAGATAAATGACGGGAGTGTCTACTACTTATCCTGCTGCTTGGAGCTCTCACTTCCGACATTGAACATGGGGACCAGCAGGCCCAGCAGCCACCTCTTTCCGAAGACCTCTTGTAAGTTCTTGCGCCAGGGCCGGGCCCTCACTGCCACCCCCTTCCGCACCTGGTGGCGGGTCTGCCCGCGGAGGATCAACAGCAGCTGGTGGCAGCAGAAGCCGGCGCAGGCCAGGCCGATGGCGAACCAGAGGTAGAGCATGAGGATGACGAACATTTCAGAACCCAGGACAGCTCCTGCAGGGCACGGGGAGGGGAAACACCAGAGCCGCTTTACACCCAGGCCACCGGCATAACTGCGATCTAGGCAGGCTTTCCACCGGGAGGGAGGGAGATTAATGAGATTGACGCTACATTTTGTAGCAACCTCAGCGCTGCAGCTGCAGTGAGGGAGAGGAAGGAAGAACCAGCTGCCCTAACTTTTTCTTGGCGCGGATGGCACCTGAGGCAAGAGGGGAAGACTGGAGACATGGCAGAGAAGAGAGCTAAGTTTGATGAGCTTAGCAAGGACAGCCCTCAGCTCCTGGGGCAGCACCTGGCCGCTGATAACATTTCTGTAGAGTAGGAGATGCCTGTCTCTCTCTGCTTTCTCCTTTTGGGCTAGAAGCAGGGTGAAGGGGTTTTGCTCAGGAGGAGAGAGGGGTGAGCTGGGGACCCTAAAGAGGGAGCAGGTGCCTGGGCAGCTGTCTAGTCCACAGCACCTTCTCCCTACTGTTCTGGGAACGCTGGTTGAGAGGACTCAGGAAAATGACAGCATGATGGAGATCTGGGAAGAATAAGTCACGAGCTTAGTCTGAAGAGCAGCCCAGAACACCAACGTAGAGAATAATTCAGTCATTAATGTTAACAAGAGGACAGTGTGGCCACCACCGCATTCCACCAGAGCTGGTTCTGTCAATCAAAGCTTGCTAGAAGAGGCCCCCAAGGTCATCAGCCCTGTGTCGTGGGGCAGGATCTCCCCAGAATCCCTCTAAACCAAGCACTTCCTATTACTGGTTTGAAATAACCACTGAGTAAGAGCTCCCACACTCTTCCTCAGAGTTTGGGTGGCTGGTCCATGCTAGGTTTGAATCTCCCAGCTGTGTGGACTGGCACAAGTGTCCCAACCTCTCAGTTGCAGCTCGTTCATCTGTACAATGGGTATAATAACACTAACGATTTCATACAGCTGCATGTTTCAAGAAAATGATGTACAGAGTGGTCAGCATTCCGGTTCACACTCAGAGCGGTGCTCCCAGCAGAGGGTCATTTTACAGAGCAGGAGACTACATCCAAAATGAGTTCAACTCCTGAAACTATCAAGCTTTTTCCTTCTCCTTTTCAGGGCTTAGAGTCCTGGCTGGGCTGCAACTTTGGCAGCTGTGGCAAAGACACTTACCTTGACCTACCCAGCAGCCAGGGCACTGGACCCTGGAGTTAATTCGAAAGTATTCCTTAGCCTTTGGTTCCCTGTAGGGCAACCCTATCACCTCCTCTGGTGGGGGGGGGGCACCTCCTCTAAGGACTCCACCTTACAACCTATTCTGCCCTTGAAAATCTCAACCATATTTTGCCCTTTCCCTAGCCTTCTCTTGCCCCAGCCCACCTCTTCCCAAGTCTCTCCAACCTCCAATTTCCAAAGCCCTGTCAACTGGGCTTTCAACACTTGTCCAGTATGAGCAGTGGTGGACTCAGCAGCCATGGAGGATGTGGATCTGATTTAGATTCTCTCATTAGCAGCCTCCTCTTGTCCTCATCCCTAGGAGCTTGGATAGCTGTATTATTTTTTTTTTTTTTTACAAAGCTGGGGACAGATAGGCCCAGCTGCCATTTACAGCAGCCCCTCCACTGGCACAGGGGCAGCAGTGGGACAGGGCTCACATTGGGCTGTGCCATCCCCTGACCCACTTCTTCCATGTCGGCACAGATTAGCTTGGGCAGCCATGTGGGGGATGGAGGATCCCAGGTCCATGGTGCTCTTTGGCGTGAGGAATGCTGACAGGCAAAGGTGGCCCTCAAGCTGGGATGTGAGAACATCAGAGCTGTCAAGCTTGGGCCTGCCTTGCAACACTGCCCCAGGAACAAGCCTGGGTGGATGGAAGCCATTTCCCACAGGGTTTTTTCCTGGCACTAAATCAAGGCATGAGAAAAAGAACTTGCGGCCTTTTCTTGGCCCCATGCAGCAGCTACAAAAGGCTATTCTGGGGACCTGCTTTCTCTAAAAGTGTTTGAAGTTACCTAGCCTGGCTGCTTCAGCTCCTCTTAACTATTTAATAATAGTTCTGCCTCTTTTTAAAAATCACAGAATTTTCCTAATGAGCCTAAAAGGACACATCAGTCAATCTCCCCTGCCCCTTCCTCCCAACAGGCATCTATAACACCTTTGACAAATAATCACCCAGCATACTTTTTAATACATCCAAGGACAAGTAGCTGCCTCCCTTCCAAAGTGGCTCATTCGAGAAGCAGCTTCAGAGAGGCAGCCCCCAAGAGGCAGTATGGTGGGTGGAAAGAGTATGAGCTTTGGAGGCTAGAAGCCCCAACTCCAAATCTTGGTTTGGAATCGTACCAGCTGTGTGGTGTTGGTGCAACTTAACCTTGCTGAGTCTTTGGTTTCTGAGCCTTAAAAATGGACATGATAATATGGACTTGTCAAGAGGAATGGGTGAAATGTGACATGCATAGTGGGTGGTACATAATAGGTGCTCAATGAACATTAGTCCCCTTTCCCTCTTACTGGACTTTCTGGTAGCACCCATCATGCTGGTGTACTTACCCAAATGCCAAGATACAGGTCAGATGGTGGCATCTCCATTTCCCAGATAAGAATAAGGTTCAGAGAGGTGACACAGCAACCTGTACTGGTCCCACAAAGCCAAAAGAAAGGGTAACTTCTGAAACCTAACTAGCTAGCCGCCTCCCTCTCTGGATCAGCTGAGGGCCTGTGGTTGGCCGCCACCTTCACACTAGAAGACCCCTCCCACTTTTAGCTCTCAAGGCCCAAACTCACAGCCATCCATGCTCTGGTGACAGATCTGACTCAGATCTGTACCACAGTTGGGGACAGCTCAATTTCTTTCTTTCTTTTTTTCTTGAGACAGGGTCTTGCTCTGTAGCCCAGGCTGGATAGAGTGCAGTGGCATGATCATAGCTCACTGCAGCCTCAAACTCTTGGGCTCAAGCAATTCTCTCACCTCAGCCTCCTGAGTAGCTGGGAAAACAGGCACATGCCACTATGCCTGGCTAGTGTATTTATTTATTTTTTATTTTTGTAGCAACGGAGTCTCACCATCTTGCCCAGGCTGATCTTGAACTCAATTTCTATTAAACAACCCATGCTTCTTACTCTTTTCTGTCCACCTGTCCTCCTGTGCAGATGAGAGAGGGTGCTACCAACTGTTCGGATTGAGGGTTGGGGAACAAGAGGAATGGGAAAGGGAAAGCCAAACAGGTGGGGTGTATGTCATGGGAGGGAAAGAAAGGAAGGTCCTCAAGAGGAAAGATGAAAGGTCACAAAAGATGAGATAGGAGAGTTGGAGGTAAGAAGTCTTGCTCGCCTGTTTCCAGTGGATATGGTGAGGAAGTGAAAGACACTGGAACTCATGCTGGCACAGGAGTCTGGGCCCCAAGGTGGGCACTCACTGGCTCTGTTCTCCCATCAGATCAAACCTAGCACATATGGACAGGCCTCAAGCCCAGATTTATCTCAAATCAAACCATTTCAAGGTCTTCCTTCTGGAACCATCCATTTTTACGGTTGGCGAAACTACTTGGAAAAGAAAGTATAAGCAGGCTTGTTGGCTCTCTTCATCCCTCCACCTGCCTGTGCTCACACTCCACCCACTAGCCCACCCACCCACCCTCCCCCGTCCTGGTTATTTTGGTCCCGGCAGCCTCCTGTGCCAGTGCTGGGATCCAGAAGGCCTGAAAGCTGTGAGTTCTGGACCCAGCTCAGCCACCAGCCCTGAAGGCAGCCCCCGTAGCTGGGTCCCCCCTGTATCTCTGTGTTCCCACTGCCAAATGGCATGATAGTTCTATGCCTGGGAAGAACTGGGCTGTAGCCACCACAAAGACTGAAATGATGGCTTCCCCCAGAGTAGAGCAGAATTTTTATGAATGTTCAGCCCAGGCACCTCAAAACAATCTTGGGCTTTCAGAGGAAGTAGCTGCCCTCTGCCTTTCTTTGCTCCTAGAAGGCCAACAGGTGAGGAAGCATGTTCTATTCCCTGAGCCACTGCAGAAGAGCTGTGGATTAAGGACCTGAGAGGCAGACCAGAGACTGCCACTCAGTAGCAGGAAGACACTGGGCAAGCCACTTAGTCCCGTCTGAGTCTCGGTTTCATCATCTGAGAAATGGAGATAGCAATGCTATACATGCACACTCAAGCACGTAGACACTACTGATTGTGGAAGCTAAGCCATTCAGAGTCAAAGGCCAGGGTAGGGAGGAAGTGGAAGGAAACGCAGTAGGAGCCAGTCTCAAGGCCAAATAAAGTGGTAAGAACTGCCACCAGGAGCTGAGTCCTTCTAGGGCCAGGTATCAGGTAGTGGTCCTTGGTGCATACTAGTTAAAGTGCAGTCCTCAGCCAGGCGCAGTGGCTCACATCTGTAAATCCCAGCACTTTGGGAGGCCAAGGTGGGCGGATCACTTTAGGTCAAGAGTTCAAGGCCCGCCTGGCCAACACAGTAAAACACCATCTCTACTAAAAATACAAAAATTAGTGTGGCGTGGTGGCACGCACCTGTAATCCCAGCTACTCGGGAGGTTGAGGCAAGAGAATCACTTGAACCTGGGAGGTAGAGGTTACAGTAAGCAGAGATTGCTTTCACCACTGCGCTTCAGCCTGTGTGATGGAGTGAGACTCTGTCTTAAAAAAAAAAAACAAAAAACCTGCCTCTCCCACCCACGTTCCCTCTGCTCTGAGCCATCAGCAGGCTGGAGAACAGGCTGGTGAGGTCAAACATAATAGGCAGGAGGACAGAGCTTAGCCTCCTGCTGGGCTGGGCTGGCAACAAGTTCAATATTACTGCAATTGGTTGGTGAGACCTCTGGAGAGCAGAGTCCTTGGGTGACATGTAAGCAGAACTGGGGACCAGGCAGAGGAATGTCATAGCATGGTTGTACCTCATGGGGCTACATGGAGGAATGGCCAGCACCTAGTCCTGCCTGGCACAGAGCAGGTGTATTACCTGGATGCCACAACTCTGTGAGCATATGGACAGCATGATGGATGAGAATGATGGGGGCAAGGGGGGATGTTACCAATAAAATACAGCATGTCCGCTTAATTTGCATTTCAGATAGCCAATAGCAAATTTTCTCAGTGTATCTCATACAATATCTGGGACATAATTATACTAAAAAATTATGAGTTGTTTATCTGAAATTTTAATTTAGCGGGACGGTCTGTATTTTTATTTGCTAAATCTGGCAACTTTTGGGGTTGGGGTTTGGGGCCCGGCAACCTTTGGGGTGGGAGGTCTTTGTGTAGAGCCCAACCTGCCCGCCAAGGCCCACTCACCGGAGAAGAACTGGCTGATGGAGGTGGGCAGGAGCGTGAGGAAGGCCAAGGGGTGGGCGAAGGAGATGGAAAGGACAGCGGAGATGTAGGCCACGCCGGCCACCATGGAGTAGAGGCAGGCCAGGGAGGTGTAGAGGCAGAACAGGACGAAGTTGCGCATGTTCCTGCTGCCGATGCAGTTGCCGGTGAAGAAACAGTGATGGTCGTGCCTCAGGGTGACTCTGGCGCACACTCGGCAGAAGTGGGTGCTAGGTGAGGGGCATGGAGTCTTCCTGGCCGAGGCCCCCTGGCAGGCCCCCAGGTCGTCTGGGGAGTTCTGGATGACAAGGACGTAATTGCCCAGGGCGTTGGCCGAGAGGAATAGGAAGAGCGCCCCGTGGAGCAGGGCGGGCGAGAAGAGCCGGGCGGCCGCGGGGTCCTCGCGCATGCTGGGCAGGAAGAGGAAGAGCTGCAGCACGAAGGTCACCAGGGAGATGCACAAGAAGTAGGCGGGGGCCACCACGTTGAGCAGCCGCAGGGCCAGCATCCTCGATTACATTCCTGCGGGGCCCGGGGTGAGAAGAGGACTGACTGACTACGGCGTCCAGGGGGCGCCCTCGCCCGCTCCTCCGTGCCGCGCGTCTGGGGCACTGCACGCGACTCCACGCCCCCAACCCCCTGTCCCGCGGATTTCCCCTCCCCAGTTCCCTAACCCCGGATCAGGCAGGCCAGAGACCCGAGCCCGCAGCGGCCTCGGGTCTAGGCCCCACCTGGGGGTGAGTGTTGCCTGGGGTTTTGAGCGAGCTCGGCGCCTTGGCGCGGCAGAGTCTGGCACAGGAGGGAGGGACTCGTTTGCAGTCTTTAGGAGTTGTGAGGGTGGGGGGCACCGGGGGATAGGACTCCTCCCCTCTGTGGATGTGGAAACAAGCCCAGGTTTGGGATTTCTGGTTCAGACCTCCCTAGGAGGAGAAAGGGAAGGATTTGGGGTCGGGGGCAGGAGAATCAGCGGCACTTGACCTGCTGGAAATCCTGCTTCACACTCCCCTTTCTCCGTCCCTGCGTCCCCACCCACACACACATCTTGGGCAGCACTCAGGGACCTCACCAGGTTACCCAAGGCTCTTTGGAGGTATGTGTGCGTGAGGGACCACGATGTGTGTGTGTGTGTCCTTGTCTGTGACTCTGTACGTGTAATCTGTGTGCGCTTGAGTATCTGTATTTGTGTATGTATATATCTGCGTGTACAGACACGCAGCCTCTGCTATCTAGCTTTAAAAAAATCAATTGAAACAATCGATACACTCACACTCGCTCTCGGGCACCGGGTGAGGTGGGGGCGCAACCAGAATACCTGTGTCAGCGGGTCCTGGCCAGCACATCTCTCCAACGCTGGCTGCCCGGGCTATTTCTTTGCGAAGAGCGTTTTCATTTGAGGCGAAATTAAAATCCCCCCTTCGCGCCCGCCTCCCGCCCTCCTGCTGAGAGAAACCCAAACAACCCTCATGGCGCCGAAATCCTTTCCATGCCGACAAGCCCGCCCTGGGCGCACGAGTGGATGCTTGGCCAGCCTTTCCTGGGATCGACCCCGCCGCCGTGCTCAGCCCTCACCACGTCCCCATCCCACCCCACGCCTCACAGCCGGGGTTCCTGGCCAGCTTCGGAAGCCACCGAGAAATAGGATTCCGTGCGCCCGAGAGAACTTTTCCAGGGGCTAAGGAATCGGCCAGCCGGAGGCGCGAGAAAAGTTCTGGGAAGGCGGTTGCACCTAGGATGGGTGGATGCCACGGGGCCTCCGTCCAGGCTGTCCCGTCCGCACGGGTCGACTGGTCACCTTGGAATCCCCTTTGCAGGTCCCAGCGCCCCCCGGGAACCCGCAGCCTCCGCGGAGAGCGTGGGCCTCTCCCTACCGCTGGGGCGCAGCGCAGTGCACGCCTGAGGGTGGTCGCCGGGGGCTGGGCACGCCCCCAGTCCTGCGCCGCCGGGGGCTGCGGCGGTGCTGCCCACCCCAGAGAGCCCTCGGCCTGGGGCTCCGGCGAAGCAAGTGCCTTCCCGGCGCCGGTCGCCAGGGGGGCGCGGGAGCAGCCAGATGCGCCGCAGCGCTGGGAAGGCGGCGAAGGACAGGGGCTAGGGGAGTGAGGGGCGCTCGGCAGGCAGCCTCAGCCCTGGCCCTGCGCGGGAGAAGGGACAGCAGAGACCGCCCGTGGGGCCCCGGGGTGTAGGGAGCTGTCCGTTCAGCCCTGGCGCCCGCCTCGCCCGCGGCAGAGGGCGGCACAGCCGGAGCCTTGGAAAGACCGGCAGCGCCGGCAGCCGCGGGCTTCTCGGCCACTGCCTCCCGGACGCACGGGAAGCCGCCCCCCGCGCCGCCGCCGCCGCACTGCCGCCGTCGCAGAGGGGTGAGGAAATCAACTCACCGAGCTCTGGTCGCCGACAAGAGGAGCCCCGGACGCCGGCTCTCGCCCTGCCCGAGGCTGCAAAGTTGTGGACTCGGCCCGGCTGGCTCGCAGCCTGCGCTTCGCTTCGGGAACTGGGCAAGTAGCGGGGATGTGGGGAGGAGGGAGCGGGCAGCTGCTGGCTTCCCACTTGGGCGCCAGCGAGTAAGGGCCAGGAAGCGGCGGGGATGGCAGCTGGGCACCCCCCAGCCCCGCCACCCCTCCCTCCGCTCCTGGGGGCGGTGCTCTGGCCGCCAGTCTCAGCATCGTGGACTTGCCCCCTCCTCCCCTCTCGATTCCCCTTGAGCGGGCTGGGGCGCCCTGCCTGGTTTCAGCGCCCGTTCCAGCTGGGAGATTGGGATTCAGCCCTGATGTGGATTCTCCAGCCATCATCCTGCCCTTCCCTCTCGGCTAGGTCCCACGACCTTCCCTGCTCTCCACTCGGACTGAAGGAACCCTGGGGGCTTGAGAGGTCAGCTTGCCAGGGCAACACCCATGAAGATCAGCGTCATCTCCTCGGAAGGGCTGTGTACAGAGGGTTGGGAGTTGGGACTCTGGAGCCTGTCTACCTGGGTTTGAATATTCACCATTCACTACTGTGAGATCTCAGATTCCAGTTTCTTCGTCTGTAAATTCCAGTGTGATCTTAGATTCCAGTTTCCTCATCTGTGAAATAGAGATATGAGGGTTAAATGACAATCTATGTAAAACCCTTAAACAGGGCCTGCCCAGGGCAAGCACTGCTTGATTAGATCATAATTAGACACTACTTATCGGGCCCCTACTAGGTAGCAGGCATTGTGCTAAGCCTTTAGCATAAGATGCTTCCTTAATCCTCTCAGCCTGATCTGTGAAGCTGGCTGAGCCCCATTCTGGAGATGAGGAGGTTGAAGCTCAGAGAAGCTAAGTCTCATGTCTAAGGTCATACAGCCATTAAGTGACAGAGCCTGGACTTGAACCTGGTTCTAGCATTAATGCTCCTGCACTCAGCCTCTACACAGCCCAGCATCACCCTGGGACCCACGGGCAGCTCTGATTTGAGAGAAGGAAAGACAATGGGAGTTTATCCAGACACAGAGCTTGAACTTGGAGCTTCTTCTTTGAGCCTCACCCCCACCTTCTTATTTCTATTTCCTTCCCCTTCCAGGGCTCCGCTATTCTAAGGTGGGTACTGTGATGCGCCAAGAGGGTAGTGACACCAATGTGTATCAAACAGTGGGGGGTGGGGGGAGCAGAGCCTTAAAAACATCAAACACTGCAGGAATATTGGTGCCATCACCATCCTCAATTTCCTGGGTGTCGCAGCTCACCTACCTGCCCTGTTCCTCTCCTCTCGGTGATGGCATACTTAATAAATAAACATTTATTGCTTTCTCAACTGGCTGATTAAAACAAGAGCAATCCCTTGAAATGAGGGCCATATGCTGATCAGCTCAGCCTCTATTCTTGAATAACCACACACTGTTTCCTCTGTAATTTATCAGCATACATCAAAATAAAAAAGAGGCCAGGAAACCTTTTCACATTCTAAAAGGATCTGACATGTAAGTGAAAGAACAGTATATGCCACATGGTGGCCGTGAGCAGCTGGTAGCCTTGTGAGTTCCAGTGGCCACAGGACAGACATGGGGAGGCACACATGGCCCTTTTCCCTTCAGAGCAGCTTTGTCTCATAATCGTGGCCGTCTGGGCCCCTTTTCACAAGCTCTGTCTGCCTCTCACATGGGCTTGGCAGGGAGGGAGGCTGGCTGGGGTGCTTGGGTTTGGGTATACTGACTGAAGATCTCCATTCCCCAAATACCTTGTGAGTCGGGTGGTATTTCTAATTTTATTTTGCATATGGGTGTGAGGTGGGAAGGTGTGTGTCTGAATCTGTGTGTATGAGGAAAGGGAAAGAGAGAAAGAAGCTAAGCGAACGTGGGAAGATGTTAGTGGGGGAAGGGAGTATTCAGTCAGGAAAAGGAGATCTGGTCGTGGAAACACAAATGGACAAGGACGATTATTTATTTAGAAATATCGTTTATCAACAGAAAAGGACATTACAGCTTCAGATCTAAAGCTAGTGGTTCCTCAGCTCCCCTTAAGGAATGGAGTGAAGGGAAGCACGGCAAATGTCATTTTGTTTTTCTAAAACTTATGCTTATCCCTGACAAAATCAATAGGGAGGCAAAATCAATATGAAAACTTCACTTGGATTCTGGCCCTATGAGAGTCAAGCAGACTAAGAATGAGCATTTTATTGCCATTTACCAGCTGTGTGACCATGAGCTGCTAGTCATTTAACCTCTCTGCTCTCAGTATTCTCATCGGTAAAATGGGAATAAGAATGCTGCTGTTATTTGTGGTGATGATGATCAAATGGGATCATGTAATTTAAGCACCTTAGCGTCTCCCACATCTTTAGGGCTCCTCTTTTCAACCACAGGACTCTCTTCACTTTCCAACTAAAATGAGAGCTCCTTGCCTATGTTGGAAATGTTTTGGGGTTTCTTCCATATTTCCTAATAGGATGATTTGCCCAGAGTTGACACTGAGTAAAAGTCTCTTGATCGATGAATTGCTACTGGTCTGTCTGTGAAAGGAAGAGCTATATTCTGAGGTCTTTGAAATGTCTGGTGAGGGCCAGATGCATTGGCTCACACCTGTAATCCCAGCACTTTGGGAGGCTGAGGCAGGCAGATCACCTGAGGTCAGGAGTCCGAAACCATCCTGGCCAACATGGGGAAACCCCGTCCCTACTAAAAATATAAAAATTAGCCAGGCGTGGTGGCCAGTGCCTGTAATCCCAGCTACTCAAGAGGCTGAGACAGGAGAATCGCTTGAACCCAGGAGGCAGAGGTTGCTGTGACCCAAGACCATGCCATTGCACTCCAGCCTGGGTGACAGATCAAGACTCTGTCTCAAAGAGAAATATCTGCTGAGGACACATTTGCCATTGATCTTGCAACCTGCCACCACCCACCCTGACTCTAATCTCATCCTCCATAAACAGTGACAGAAATGATTTATAAACCACACTCTCCATTGCTCTTGCTGTAGATTCCTATAGTTAAGCCATAACTGTACCTGCAGGCAGTCCCATGGGGACAGGGGCACAGATAAGCATCTCATTGCTGTCCAGCCCTTTCCTGGAGATATGCGCCCTCAATCTTGCTATTTGGTGGTGTTATTTGAATAAAATGAATTCCCTTTCAAGTGGAAATTATTCCACTTTGCTTCAGAGTGTTGTATTACAAGGAGAGAAATCCATGTAGCAAGCAGCTTCTGCCTTGAGTGAGTAACCCCGCCTCCATGTCTGTCAGGCCTATAATGCCCCAAATGTTTTGGATGGAGACTATTCCAAGATGCAAGGAGCTGCACCTAAGAAGGCTGGTGGTGGTTTTCTTTCATTCTTATGCTCTTATTTCAGATAGATCAAGGTGAAGATAGGCTTGGGTCAGGATGCTCTTTAGCGCTGACAGCAGATCATAGCCAGGGATAACCACAGAGTGTTTCCCAAGCCTGGGAAGGCTTACAAAGATGCCATCCCTGCCTGCCCAGATTTGGAAAACATGCAAGTGTAATCTTCATTTTAGCCAACTAAATACATGAAAATTGGATTATCACAGAGTTTCTATTTGGAGGTGGTAATTTACTTTGCTAACTATGTCTTCATTTTAACAACGATAACATTACTTTGATGTAATAAAGTGCTTTGCAGGCTACAAAGTCATCCACAAAATTAAAATTTCATCCCATGAATCTCTCTCAACAGCACAAACTAGCTGGGGTGAGAATTATCAAACCCATTTTCCTTATGGGGAAACTGAGGTTCAGAGATTTGCTGCATGTTAATTTGCAAGGCTTGACTATGTTTGATTTGAAATATGATTTAATATGCAAAACATATCTCATCGATATTTAACTTTTCTGGAACATGTCAGTTGCATAAAGGAAGCAGGTATGTAACATACTCCCCCAGAGTAACAGACCTGAAGGATCTCCCTTTACCTAAAACTGCTGTGCTCTGCACTCTGCATCCTGTCTACTCTGCTTTGTCTTCAACAACTTTTATCACCACTTGACAGGTATATATTTGTCTGTTTACTGTCTGTCTCTCCCCACTGAATTCTCAACTCCGTGAGAGTAGGATTTGAACTGCTTTATTCACTGCTATATCCCAAGTGCCTATAACAGTGTCTGGCACATAGTAGTAGGTGCTCAGTAAACATTGGTTGAATGAATAAATATAATATGCATAAACTTGTAAGCCTGCAGCACATTAATCAAATGCCCTCAGGCACTCTGCTGTTTGTCGTGCTGGAGGGGGTGTGTGTGATTAGGGGCAGGTATGCTCAGCCTCCAAGCTCACATGTCAAGGTAGAAACTACAGGTCTGGGTGACAAGTAAACCCAGTGGTCTCCCAGGTGATTGGTGCATCAGGGTGGAAATCTTGGGTTAGCTTGGGAGAGCCTCTTTTGCAGTATCCAGGCTGTGGAAGAATGAACCAATGGGCTCTTTCACCAATTAGCCATGGTTTCCAGGGACCGTTTAGGCAGTCCTGGTAGGGACGCCTGTGCCTGTGGACAAGCGAGTACCCAGCCCTGTGGAAGCGGTGGCAGCAAGATTAACTGGCCCTTTCATCTCAGAGCACGCAGGAGGCAGAGGGAGGAGAAAGAGGGGGTATAGGGAGGAAGAAGAGGAGGGAGGGAGAGGGCAGAGAGGAGAAGAGAGAAAAGGAGACAGGAAGGAGAAGAAAGGGGGGTAGTGAGAGAGTGCTCATTTATCTGTCTGACACACCAAGTTTATGTCTTCATGATGGAGGAGGCTCGGGAGGAGCAGGGCAAAATCAGCTGTCTCCATCGAGAGCCCTGCAATGCCAGGTGTCCAGGTTGGGAGGGAATGAGGCAGAAGGTGGACATCTCAATTACAGGAGGAGGGGAGTGAGACCAAGGGAGTGAGGTCCCTGCAGTGCCCTTGGCTGTTTGGAGACCTCTTAGATATGTCGTTACCGTCACAGAGCAGCAGGCAGCACAAACCTCACACTCCTGACCCCCTCTTTCTCCCTCCCCCTACCCCAGCAGAGATGGCCCAGGCTGCAGAAGAGAGGCAGTGTGGTGCGACCAAAAAAATCACAAGTTTTTGGTGTCTGTTGACCTGAGCTTGTCTCCCAGCTTTGCCATTCACCAGCTATGTGAACTTGAGCAAGTTCCTTAACTTCTCTGAGTCTCAGATTTGCTCTCCTTTAAATGAGGACTTTAACTAACCTGCAGTTTGTCATGAGCTTTTGTTTTGGGGGGTTTGTCATTTTGTTTTCTTTTGAGATAGAGTTTCACTCAGTCGCCCAGGCTGGAGTGCAATGGTGCAGTCTTGGCTCACTGCAACCTCCCCCTCCCGGGTTCAAGCGATTCTCCTGCCTCAGCCTCCCGGGTAGCTGGGATTACAGGTGCAGAATCAGCAAAAACAGGTCTGCAGTATGGGATAGAAATTTCAGATGGGACCAGAGGAGGAAAAAGGACTCCAAGAAGAAGGTCCAGAGAACATTCAGGGCACAGGTTCTGGGGTCAAAGGACCCTGGTTCAGGTTTCAGCTCCAACACTCACTGGTGCAGCCTTGAGCAAGCCAGCTAACTTCTCTGTGTCTCAGTGTCCTATTTATAAAAGAGTGTTAAGTACAGCTCTCGCCTGATAGGGTTGTTACATAGGTTAAACAAGATAACATCTGTAGAGCACTTAGAATAGTGGCTGGCATAGTAAACACTAAAGAAGTGAGAAGTTATGTAACGAACTGTGATTCGGTTCCATAGCATGTGATAGAAGCCCCAAGACAAAACTGGTTTAAACTAAGATGAAAGTCTATTTCACTGCCACGTAAACGAAGTTTAAGGGAGCCCCTCCAGGGTTGATGCAGAGGCTCCAAGGTTATGTGAGACCTAGACTCTATCTAGTTCCATCATCCTGAGCATGCTGCCTCATGGTCCAGAACAGCTGCTTCTATCCCAGCCATCATGCCCATATTCCAGCCAGCAAAAAGGAGAAAAGGAGAAAGAATAGCTCCCCTCTCTTTTTTTTTTTTTCCTGAGACAGAGTCTTGCTGTGTCACCCAGGCTGGAGTGCAGTGGCATGATCTCGGCTCACTGCAATGCTCACTGCAATCTCTGCCTCCCAAGTTCAAGTGATTTTCCTGCCTCAGCCTCCCAAGTATCTGGGAATACAGGCATGCGCCACCATGCCTGGCTGATTTTTGTATTTTTAGTAGAGACGGGGTTTCACCATGTTGGCCAGGCTGGTCTCGAACTCCTGGCCTCAAGTGATCCAACTGCCTTGGCCTCCCAAAGCGCCGGGATTACAGGCGTAAGCCACCACGCCCAGCATTTTTTTTTTTTTTTTTTTTTTTTGAGACAGGATCTCACTCTGTCACCCAGGCTGGAGTACAATGGTGTGATCATAGCTCACTGCAGCCTCAACCTCCTGGGCTCAAGCAGTCCTCCAGCCTCAGCCTCCAGAGTAGCTGGACTACAGATGTGCACTACCACACCCAGCTGATTTTTTTTTCAATTTCTTCTAGAGACGGGGTGGGGCAGATGCGGGGGGAGGGGGGTCTCACTATGTTGCCCAGGCTGGTCTCAAACTCCTGGCCTCAAGCAATACTCCTGCCTCAGCCTCCCAAAATGCTTGTATCACAGATACTGCATCCAACCACATCCCCGCCACCACCCCCCCCCCTTTTTTTTTTTTTTTTGAGACAGAGTCTCATTCTGTTACCCAGGCTGGAGTGCAGTCATGCAATCTGGGCTCACTGCAACCTCCACTTCCCAGGTTTAAGCGATTCTCCTGCCTCAGCCTCCTGAGTAGCAGGGATTACAGGCACACGCCACTATGCCTGGCTAATTTTTGTATTTTTAATAGAGATGGCGTTTCACCATGTTGGTCAGGCTGGTTTTGAACACCTGACCTTGTGATCCGCCTGCCTTGGCCTCCCAAAGTGCTGGGATTACAGGCGCGAGCCACTGCACCCGGCCTACACAGACCCTACTTTTTAAGGACATTTCCTGGAAGTCGCACACATTACATGCACTTACCTCTCTCATTGGCCAGAACTTGGTCACATGGCCACACCTAGTACTGGTCAGTATGTAACCAGCTAAGATTTGTGAGTTGTATTGAGAAAGAAGAGGAGGGAAATGGATTTGGGGGATGACTTGCAGCTTTTTCTTCTACTGTGAAAAAGTTTAGACATGCAATTTATCCATTCCCTGGGCCTCAAGACTGAAGATGGATTTTTCTGGGACTTCTAGCCTCTGAGATTCCAGTTTGTCATTGGTCAAATGGGGCTATTGCTCGCTGCCCTTTTCTGCCCTCCACCTGATCTTTGCCTTCCTCTTGGCACGTTTCCTTCTCCTCACAGAACAGGTGCAGGAAAGGCAGCTGCAGCCTGCCAAAGCCTTGGCCCTCAGATGAACATGGATGGTGAGGGCTGGAGGTGGCTATGATCAGTGTCCCAGGCCATCTGGCTGCTTCAATAAGCTCAAAATCTGGCCCAAGATGAAAGAGAAGGGGAGACAGAAAAGATGCACTTTAAATATTTTTTACTCTTAAAAACCATATGAGTAATATGTTTTGTAAGAAAATACAAAATTTTTTAAAATTAAAAGCAAAACAAAATCTTTTCATCTTAAGCCCTGAGCTAATTATCATGAACATCTTGTACGTGTCTCACAATCTTTCATCTACTCAAATTTTTTTCCCCTTAATTACAAATTTGAGCTCACATCTTCATTATCTTTTATAATCAGCTTTTAAAATTCAGCATTAACAAGACAATCCTTCCATGTTGATAAATACATTTCCCCGGCGTAATTTTTAATGGACAGCGAGTATGTCCCTCTTACAGAAGTGACACAATTTAATAGGGGTGCACCAAAATTTGGCTTTGATCTTAGTATCAAATTTTGCTCTAGAGCTTCATCTTCAACTTTGGCCCCTGAAAGGCTGAATTGCCAAGTTCAGACTTAAGCATCATTTCTGGGTTTCCTAGACTGGGGCATGATCCATGATCCTGTGGCTGTGTTACATGGACTTTGCATGCAATAAGCGTAACAACCTGTTATACAGGCATATCATTTGGATGTACTGTGATAAACACTTTTAAATATGGATGACCTTCTATGTGTAAATTGTAATGAATATATTCTTTCGTGCTCTATGTGTTGAAATTCTATCAATGTATAAATGTACGTTTATTATTGCAAGAGTAAAATGCTGTAATCATTTATGATTGTAAACATTGTCCCTTTTATGTACGGAAATAATTATTGAGAGCTTTTAAGTATTCAGATTTAGAAGGAAACACATAGCTAATACAAATTTTGAAAAATATGTCAGCTAGATACTTTTAAAAGATACTTTTTAAAGACTTGAAAACATTTTTAAATTTTTTTAGAGACAGGGTCTCACTCTGTCACCCCTAGGCTAAAGTACAGTGGCACTATCATAGCTCACTGAAGCCTAGAACTCCTGGGTTCAAGGAATCCTCCTGCCTCAGCCTCCCAAGTAGCTGGTATTACAGTCTTCAGTCACTACATCTGGCTTAAAGATACATTTTGAGGCAACAACAACAAAAAAATTAAAATAATAATATGAAGGAGAATAATATGGATTAGATTATATCAGAGTTCTAATCTGTGTAGAATTGTTTGGGATACTAATATTCATGGCACTAAACAAAATAACCTTTTAAAACTGTATTCCATTTTTAGTTACTTTATTCTATGTAAGCCATGAATCTTTTTTTAAGCCCTATTTGTAACTCTTTATATCTTATAAAGATAAAATAAAAACAGAATCTCAGCTTAACCAACCTCATAATTTCATAAATAGGGAAACCTCCAAAATCACATATATTAATAACAATATCTATGGTAAATTATATTTAACTCAGTATGGAATATAAAGAATATGAAAAAAAGAAAAACTATTATCGTTATTATTATTTGAGACGGAGTCTCTCTCTGCTGGAGGGCAGTGGCATGATCTCGGCTCACTGCAACCTTTGCCTCCCGGGTTCAAGCGATTTTCTTGCCCCAGCCTCCCAAGTAGCTGGGACTATAGGTGCCCACCACCACGCCCAGCTAATTTTTTGTATTTTTAGTAGAGATGGGGTTTCGCCATGTTGCCCAGGCTGGTCTTGAACTCCTGCCTTCAGGTGATCCACCCACCTCGGCCTCCCAGAGTGCCGGAATTACAGGCGTGAGCCACCGCGCCTGGCCAAGAAAAAATTATTAGAACAAGTGAGGCATCACACTCCTCTGCCATTCAGTCAAAAGTAAGCACCAATTTATTAACACAAACATTACATAATACATGATACAGGAGCAATCTCGCTACTGCTAGCACTAAGAAAATGTTGTTCTTGCACTATAACATTAAACTGTTAAATACTGACAGTGAAATGCACCAATAAGGAAACTGTCATCACAGAGAATCTCTGATAAAATTTTAGATGTACTCCTTTATCAAAGGCATTGGCTTGGGCTTCGGCTGAATACGGATTGTAACAATTGACCATCTGGTGTTCAGCCAAAATGTGTGTTGAGTGCATCTCTAACTTTAGATTATTTCCAATTTCTCACTATTATTAGCAACATTGCAATGAACGTCCTAACACAAACAACTCTATGGGACCCTGTGATTATTTCCTTGGCTGAATTCCAAGAAGTGGAATGGCTGGGTCAAAAGGATCCCTATTGCCAAACCATCCTCCAGAAAGTTTGTGCCAGCTTCCTTCCCACTTAAGGAGTGAGGGGCTTGTAACCTGCCTTCTCACCAGCTCCGGGACCTGCTTTTCCAATCCCCCACAGAGGCTGGGAGTTGGATGGTAGAGAATGGCATCCTTCAGCCAGCCCCAGACGCCCCCTGGAGCCCACGATTGCAATTGTAGCTATAATTTATTTTGTGTTTACCTCGTTTCTGGCATTGTGGTAGACCTTTTCTTCCTGCATTTCAATCCCCTCAATTATGGTTCAAAGTAAATATGGCTGGCTTCATCTTATAGATGAGAAAACTGAAACTCAAAGGGTTGGACGGCCCTGCTTTTAGCCCTAATGGAAATCTCCAGGGGCCTGTTCAAGCAACAGTCTGCAACCCTATTCCTGCAGGTAAATGAAACCTGCAAGGTCCAATCCCCACGACCCCAACTGTTCAGCCCCTCTTGGGATCAGGGATCCCTGCGCCCTCCCAGCCAGCACAGTTTCTAGCCAGGGCCTAAAGGTGGAAAAGAAGGTGACCACCCGGTGGGCTCAGCTCTGTGCTGTACATTGTCTCATGTAGGTCTCAAATGGCCAGGAGAGATACCTTTATCTTATATGAAAGGAGACAGTGGCTCAGGAAAATATCCAAGAGCTCGCAGCTAGGAAATGGCAGGAATGCAGATAAGGACCTGAACCAGAGGACACACTCAGGGCATGTTCATAGAGTGGATGGAAGGATGAATAGATTCTACAGGGCCCTAGATGGTGAAACTACAGGAGCTAGACTACCACAGACCCTCTGTGTAAACCAGGTACTCCCAGGTGGGAAAGAAGAGGGCAGGATTTGAGCCACCCTGGTGGCAAGGGTCCTCTCTTTTTTCATTCTTTCAGGCAAGAGAAGTTGCATCTAGGGCTGCCTTGTACAGTTGTTCAGGTTCTACACTTTACAATTCCAGGGACCTCATTTTCACACATGTATATTTGGATAATTATTATAATAATTTTCCAGTAGATGGCAGTAAAGTATCTTGAGTTAAGGACACCCCTTTTCTGTACAAATATACTGTTTGGGCTATTTGCAGTGCTGGGTGCATCTCTCTACCAGCCCTCCAAACTGCTGAGAGGTTGCCTGACACCCTTTCCCTCCCTTGTCTCACCCCTTCATCGATTGCCTCAGAGTCTCAGAGTTGGGCTGGGGAGTTCAGAGGAGAGTGGCATTAGCACCAGAAAGCCCCAGCTGCATCCTTTATTCCAACAAAGGTGATGTTTGTAATGGGAAATCCTGGGTTCAAGACCCAGCTCCTGCATTTTTTTTTTTTTGAGACAGTTTCACTCTTGTTGCCCAAGCTGGAGTGCAATGGTGCAATCTCGGCATTGCAACCTTCATCTCCTGAGTTCAAGTGATTCTCCTGCCTCAGCCGAGTAGCTGGGATTACAGGCACATGCCACCACGCCCAACTAATTTTTTTGTATTTTTAGTAGAAATGGGGTTTCACCATATTAGCCAGACTGGTCTTGAATTCCTGACCTCAGGTGATCCGCCCGCCTCGGCCTCCCAAAGTGCTGGGATTACAGGTGTGAGCCACCACGCCCAGCCGCTCCTGCATTTCTTTCGAATGGTCTTATGCAAGTGACCTCAAAGTTCTGGGCCCTACTTTTCCTTTCTGAAAAGAGTGCAGTAATAATCCCTGCCCTTGGGGTTGCAAGGAACAAATGCTATTCTGAACATGACCAAGAATGGCTAGCTATAAAGCACTGCATCCATGAGTGTCCTCCTTACCCAGAGAGGATATGCTGCATTATTGTGGGAAGGGTGTGCCACAGACCACGTGGTGCTGCCTTGTCACAACACTCCCCCGAGTCACCTTCCCATAAGGGATCTCTCTCCTGGCTCTCCGCTGCTACTCTATCCCAAGGGGTTACTTTGACCTCTTCAGCCTCTGATCCAAGCTCCTTAGTATAGTTCATCCATTAGCCAGTCAATACATACTAGTAAGCATTTACTATGTGCTGGGGTCTATACTAATCTCTAGCCTCAAGTTGCTTACAGTCCCATGGGGGCAAAAAGTTAGTGTAGTTGCCATCTTGTTTCTTGTTTCTTGATAAAGCTAGGCTTTATCCCATTCCTCTGGGACCCCGGGGGAGAAAGAGACCTTACCCAGTTCCTGCCTTCCTAGTTCCTAGGACATTTAATGACTGGACACTATCCTTGGCCCCCACCATTGCAGCTCACTCCAAGTTGTAGAAGAGAAGCTCAGCTGGGCTCTTTTCTGCCTGTCTCATATGGGTCAGGGAAGCCTAGAACAAACTTGCTATGGATTTCACTTACAATTTGACACAGCTGTGAAGAAACAAGAAATCCAAAGTAGCAGTGGCTTAAATGAGCTAGACCTGCAGTTCCTTCTAATGTAAATGAAGTTCAGAGGCAGGCATTCCAGAGCTAATGTGGCCACTCTACAGTGCCAGGAGGGACCCAGGCTCTTTCCAGTTCCCTGTTCGGTCATCCCTCAGATGTGGTCTTCATCTTCACGATGGAGGTGTTAGCCCAGGGCTGGCAAAGTCCTTCATCACATCAGGGCCCAGGCTCCTTTTCTATCATTTCCTCCTCAATTCTTAGTACGCAGCCTCTACCTCATGGCCCAAAATAGCTTCTCATGCTCCAGCCATTGATTCAACATCCATCAGCAGGAAGTAGGAAAAAAAGTATGAGCAAGGGCATACCTTCTTTCTCTTAGGATACCCCCTGGAAATTACTTGTGGTACTTCTCTTTGTCTCCCATTGGTTAGAATTTAGCCACATGACCATATCTAGATGCAAAGAAGGTCAGCAGATGAGTCTTTATTCCAGGTGGCCCTGTGCTTAGCTAAAAATTGTAGGTCCAATTCCTAGAGAAGAAGAGGAGAATGGGAATTGAGGAACCATGAGAATTCTCTACTACATCTTGCCTATGAGGGGACATCTCCTTCCTACAGGGAACATCTCTACCTAGCAGTCTCCCCAGCATAAATTAAGCAGGAAAATAAAATAACCTAATAACCATAACACCACAGAACAAGGATTACACAAATACTGTAATGGGGTAATTTCCTCTCTGCATATAAATGACATTTGTGTTCTATTGTACTTATCATCATTGCCAACCCTTATCCTATAATCCCTGATGTGCTCAGCTGCCTCCAGTCCTATTCCTCCCGGTCCATGTATAGCATCTCCTCCCACAGCACTGAGACAAAGCCCTCTGTGCACCCATCTCTGCCTCCTCCCTTTCTAGGGTGGAATCTGGCTAAAGTTAAAGCTAGGGGAGAAATGAGGGGGAGGCCCCGCGACAGCGGCAGCTGCACAGCAGGGACAGGCGGCGGTTGCCTTGGTGAGCTGGGCAGAGATTTCTATGATGCTGCTAAATGTATTTTCCTGACCTGCCACCGCCTTCTCTTTCCTGCTTAGGAGACACCTTTCAGGAGCTGAGGCCCCTCATCTCAACTTCTTCTCTGCTCCCACCCTTTAAAATACTCATTTCCCTGCTCATTACCTCTTCCTGTAAGATTGGGTCTGGAGCCCTCAGACACCCTAGGTGTGGAGGGGGAATGGGGCATTAACACTGATTGAGTCTTGCAGGTATTTTTCCACGGACCTTCACAGCAGCCCTGCACCCTCATCCGCATTTGACAGATCAAGCCCTGAGCCTGAGAGCCGCTAGGTAGTTGGTAGTTGGTAGTTGGTCCAGGTCACCCAGCTTGTAGGTGGCAGACCTGGGACTGGAACCCCATGTGGGATTCTGAGGGTGGAATTTCAAGCAAGCTACCAGATGTGGGAGGAGACATTTGGGGGCAAGAGAATGTGCACAGCATTGGCTGTCCCTGCCAGCTTTTCAGGGATAATTTTGGAGCAGGGACGGAAAATCTGACCCTGCTGGTAAAATTAGCAGCAAACCATGTACCCTGGCCTGTGGTTTAAGGGGGTCACGTGAGACCAAGAGCTATAGGCACCACTGCCTGCTCCACTTGCCCTCTCTGTCCCCATACTCCCCAGGCAGTTTCACCATCACCCCCAAACTTGATCTCCAGGCACCCTGGCTCTGCCCTCTCTCCAACCTCTCCAAGCCCCAAAAAATCATCCCTCTACTCAGCAAAGGCAACCTTCAGTTCCCCACCTCCTCCCCTTGGTGCCCTGCCTGCTCAGCTCCAGTCCTGTCTTCCCCCCTCCCCACCCCACAGTCCCAAGCTGCTAGATCAGGGTAGTGCTGAGAACTTTTGGGGCCTGGGGTGGGAGTGGCGCGGAGGGGAGAGAAAGGGAAAGGGGAAGGGCATCTTCTCCCCTAGCAGAGCTGGCTCCACGGAGTGGAGTCCTGTGCTAGGAGGCCTGTCTGGGTAGCCCACTCACACTTCCCATGCTTCCCTCCCCTGTGGTTCCATTCAGCCATCTATCTGAGACAGAGAGAAGGGCAGAGCGTGGGAGGATAGTTTGGGGTTAAGGTTATCATGGCTCACCTCCTGGAAATAGGACTTGGGGACCAGAAGCTGGATTTCTGAAAGTTTATATGCATACACTTGCTTCTACATGCCCACTCATACACACAAGCACACCTGTACTGACACATACATGCACAGATGCACACTCACACAGACACATGCATGCACACGCACACAAGCACTCACCTGCACACCTTAGTCCAAATTCCTCTGGCAGTCCTCTCTTAAGGTTAAGGGTTTGAACTTTGAAGTCAGGCAAACGTGGAGTTTTCTTTTACATATTGCATTATAGGTTGTTTTTTGTTTTTTTTTTTTAAGACAGAGTTTCGCTCTTGTTGCCCAGGCTGGAGTACAATGGCACAATCTCAGCTCACTGCAACCTCTGCCTCCCAGGTTCAAGTGATTCTCATGCCTCAGCCTCCCATGTAGCTGGGATTACAGGCGCACACCACGAAGCCATGCTAAGTTTTGTATTTTGATAGAGACAGGGTTTCACCATCCTGACCAGGCTGGTCTCGAACTCCTGACCTCAAGTGATTCACCTGCCTTGGCCTCCCAAAATGCTGGGATGACAGGCATGAGCCACTGCGCCTGGCTGCATTACAGTTTTTAAACAATGGTTTCTCATTTTCAGAAGGCACTGTCTGATATTAGAACCATATAAAGGTGTCATAAGTGCAGGTCCCCCCCGCCCACCACCCCAGCCCCCAGTCTCTTGTTCCCCTTCCCAGAGACAACCATTGCCACCGATTACTTGTATCCTCCTCCAGAGTTGGTCTGCAGATAAGAGCCTCTATAGGGACATAAGCATGCGTGCGTGTGCTCATGGGTGCACACACACACACACACAGTTGCCCCCTAGATACACTAGCATACTGCTTTGCACTCTGCTTTCTTTTTATTTTTCTGAGACAGTGTCTCACTCTGTCACCAAGGCTGGAGTGCAGTGGCGCAATCTTGACTCCCTGCAACCTCTGCCCCCTGAGCTGAAGCAATTCTCCCACCTCGGCCTCGTGAGTAGCTGGGACTACCGACGCACACAACCACACCTGGCTAATTTTTTTGTATTTTTAATAGAGACAGAATTTCGCCATGTTGCCAGGCTGGTCTTGAACTCCTGGGCTCAAGTGATCCACCCGCCTCGGCCTCCCAAAGTGCTGGGATTACAAGCGTGGACATTCTTCTTTCTTTGTTGATTGATGTACCTTGGCAATTGCTCAATATTCATGCACACATGGATCTCCTCCTTTTTATTTATTTATTAATTATTATTTTGTAGAGACAGGCTCTCACTATGTTGCCCAGGCTGGAGTACAGTGGCTATCAACAGGCACAATCCTCAAGCCCTGCAGTCTCCAGCTCTCAGGCTCCAGCCATCCTCCCACCTCAGCCTCCTGTGTAGCTGGGACTACAGGTGTGTGCCACCTGCCCAGCTTCCAGGTCCTTTTTAATGAGTGCATGGTCCTCCATCATGCAGATGCGCCATAACTCCTGTGATGTGTCCTACTGACTGACCAGATTGTTTCCAGCTGTTCACTTTGTTGCTGCTACCTGGCGTCTTTTTTTTTTTTTTGGAGTCTCATTCTGTCACCCAGGCTGGAATGCAGCAGCACAGTCTTGACCCACTACAACCTCCATCTCCTGGGTTCAAGAGATTCTCCTGCCACAGCTTCCCAAGTAGCTGGGATTATAGGCACCCACCACCACGCCCTGGATATTTTTTTTTTTTTTTTTTTTAGATGGAGTCTTGCTCTGTCGCCCAGGCTGGAGTGCAGTGGTGCAATCTCAGCGCGCTGCAACCTCCACCTCCCGGATTCGAGCAATTCTCCTGCCTCAGCCTCCTGAGTAGCTGGGATTACAGCATGCACCACCACGCCCAGCTAACTTTTGTATTTTTAGTAGAGACAGGGTTTCACCATGTTGGTCAGGCTGGTCTCGAACTCCTGACCTCAAGCAATCCAGCTGCCTCAGCCTCCCAGAGTGCTGGGATGACAGACGTGAGCCCCCACGCCCAGCCTGCTACCTGGGGTTCTTTCATGAGTGTCCCTGCCCGTACCCTTTAGCCCACGTGGGTGTGCGTATCTGTCAGAACTGCATGTGAATGAATGGCTGGCCCAATGACTTGGCCTCTCATCCCTCACGTTCTCAGTTTGTGGATGACAACAGTCAGAGCGCTGGCTTCACGGGGTGAGGATGAATGAAGTCCTACCGTAGTGCCTGGTACACGGGAACCCCCATCAGTGTTAGCTGGGGAGGGGAAAAGCAGCTGGAATGGGGAGGGGGAGAATAAGGGGCCTGTGCAGCCAGGGGAGGCTGGTCAGCCCCCTCCTCAAGGCCACCAAGGAGAGATCACAGGGGCCTCAGCCCAAGAAGTCCCCGGCTCTTGCAGTTGGGACCAGCCAGTGTGGCTGCCACCAGGAGGGGAAGCAGGGGACAGGGAGCGGGCGGCAGCTGCATCACAGCCAGAGTGAGGAGCAGGCCAAGCAGGGGACAGGGAGCGGGCGGCAGCTGCATCACAGCCAGAGTGAGGAGCAGGCCCGGCTTCCCTGCTGAGTCATCCCCGCTGGAGTGAGAAAGGGAGGGAGTGAAGGAGTGAGAGAGGGAGGGAGGGTGTGCGCCAGCACCGCACATCACACACACGCACACATGCGTGCACACATCACACACACACATCACATATCACACACACATCACACATCACACACACATCACACACACATGCACACACACATCACATACATCACATATATCACACACGCACACTTACACCACACATACACACTCACACATGCTCACATGCTCACACACCTCCTGATTTAGGGAAAAGGAGCCCCTCCCAGCAGAAAGAGGCTTTGTTCCCCACAAGATGTGAAAGCCGTGGAGACAAAGGAGAGGCGGCACTCTCTCCTTTGAGGCTGTTCCCAGCTGCGGTCTCTCCAGCCTTGCTCTGTCCTCACCCCATGCCGACCAATCTTCTCCTCTGTCAGCCCGAATCCTGCTGCCAGGGTGACCAACCCTCCTGGATGGCCCAGGACTGAGGGCTTTCCCCAAATGACACGAGGACGAGTTGGGCACCCTGTCTGCCCCTCTCCAACTCCACCCTCACCTTCACCACCCTGCTGGCACCAGATCCCTGCAAATCACCCCCACCTGGCTTCTCCAGGGAGGCACAAAAGCTTTCCTGGCTCTGCAGTGATGTTTTGATGCAACAGACATTTATGAGACTGGTTCCTGAGCTGCACAGAACAGGCATGAGTGAGGCTGCGTGCCACTGGATAGGGGCTGCCCATCACTGGCAGGGGTCCAGAGGAGATGGAGACTCAGGGGGCAGGCTGGAGGGAGGGTAGCACATCTCCCTTCATTAAAAGCCACTTTTTGTCTTAGTACAAAATCCCAACACCCAATTGGTGCCTAACGCCCTGCTCTAATTCCTTCTGAATGTATTTCTATTCACATGGAACTGGCTTTGGAAAAGTCTGAATTTAACAGGATTCAAACAGGAAATATTTTTGCTCTGTCTCTAATCACAGCCTTCGACCATGCTTTGCCAAATCTCCTTTTCTGACCCTGAACAATATTCCTGGCAGATTCCTAGCTTTCTGGTCACCTCCAGTTATTAAAAATCCAGGTTAGTCTAGTTCAATTTAAAAGTTCAGGCCAGAGGCGCGGTGGTTCATGTCTTTAATCCCACCACTTTGGGAGACCAAGGCGGGCGGATCACCTGAGATCAGGAGTTCAAGACCAGCCTAGCCAACATGGTGAAACCCCCATGTCTACTAAAAATAAAAATATTGGCCAGGCGCGGTGGCTCATGTCTGTAATCCCAGCACTTTGGGAGGCTGAGGCGGGCAAATAACAAGGTCAGGAGTTTGAGACCAGCCTAACCAATATGGTGAAACCTCGTCTCTACTAAAAATACAAAAAAAATTTAGCCGGGCACGGTGGCATGGGCCTGTAGTCCCAACTACTCGGGAGGCTGAGGCAGAAGACTCGCTTGAACCCGGAAGACAGAGGTTGCAGTGAGCCG
Source organism: Homo sapiens (assembly GCF_000001405.40). Taxonomy (NCBI): domain Eukaryota; kingdom Metazoa; phylum Chordata; class Mammalia; order Primates; family Hominidae; genus Homo; species Homo sapiens. The sequence continues at coordinate 77,159,845 of NC_000014.9, forward strand.
AGATTGCGCCATTGCACTCCAGCCTGGGTGACAGAGTGAGACTCCATCTCAAAAATAGATAATTGAAAATAAATAAATAAATAAATAAATAAATAAATAAATAAATAAATAAAAATATTAGCTGAGCGTAGTGGCGCGCACCTGTAATCCCAGCTACTCAGGGGGCTGAGGCAAAAGAAATGCTTGAACCCGGGAGGCGGGGGTTGCGGTGAGCTGAGATTGCACCACTGCACTCCAACCTGGGTGACAGTGGGAGACTCTGTCTCAAAAAAAAAAAAAAAGTTAAGGCCAGGCGCGGTGGCTCACGCCTGTAATTCCAGCACTTTGGGAGGCCGAGGCCGGTGGATCACTTGAGCTCAAGAGTTTGAGACCAGCCTGGGCAACATGGTGAAACCCCATCTCTACAAAAAATACAAAAATTTACCAGGAGTAGTCGCATGCACCTGTAGTCCCAGCTACTGGCTGAGGTGGGAAGACTGCTTGAGCCCAGGAGGTCAAGGCTGCAGTGAGCCATGATTGTGCCACTATACTCCAGCCTAGGCAACAGAGTGAGACCCTGTCTCAAAAAAAATAAAATAAAATAAAAGTTAAATACCATGTTCAGCTAGGCACGGTGGCTCACACCTGTAAACCCAGCACTTTGGGAGCCCAAAGCAGAGGATTGCTTAAGGCCAAGAGTTTGAGACCAGCCTAGACAACATAGCGAGACTCTGTCTCTACAAAAAAAATCAAAATAAAACATTAGCCAGGTGTAGTGGTGTGTAGCCTGTAGTCCCAACTACTTGGTAGGCTGAAGCAGGAGGATTGCTTGAGCCCAGGAGTTCCAGGCTGCAGTGAGTTATGATTGCACCACTGCACTCCAGGCTGAGTGACAGGGCAAGACCCTATCTCTAAAAATAATTTTTAAAAATCATGTGCAATTATAGGACGACTGCCGCCGCCCCATGTCCATCAGCATCAAGCAAGGCTAGGAATGGGGGGCAGAGGTTTCTCTTCCTCCCCTCCCGCATGGAGTCCTTTCATTTCCAGGATTTGAGGTTGGTGTGTGATGGGTTGGGGGATGAGAGCTGGAGAGGAGCAGCCACAGATCTTGTTCTCTTGGCCACCACTGCCTGATAATCAATGCCTTCTGCCGCAGGCTTCCAAGTGGGGTATGTGGTTGAGTTGTCTAGGGAGAGGGTTACTCTGGCTAGATATCTTCCCTCTCAGCTCAACCTCCCAGAGGCCCACCAGTGAAATTCCTCCCCAGCCACCTCCCCAGTGTTTATGGGGCCCCCAGGAAACTGATGCACCCTTACCTGGCCGAACAGGGCATGCGGGCCCCTCCATTGCTGCTGGCTCTGTGTGGCTGCCTCTGTCCACTCTCCTTCCCATTCCTGCCCCCCTTGGGCCATGGGATGCCAGCCTCTTCCTTTACAGGCACCCCAGTTTCTGTGAGCAAGTCTCCAGGAGTTCACCCCTACTTCCAGAAAGCGGAGGGGGAAGCAGAGCCCCTACCCTCGGTTAGGAACAAGGGCAGTTTCAGGGGTGTGTGGTCTGTGCACTTCCATGAGGCCTCAGGTCAGAAGTGCTGGCGGTTGGTCCAATGCTCTTCTGTCTTGAAGTCTCTTAATTTTTAAATTAGGGGCAACTTGTTTTCATTTTACACTGGGCTCCAAAAATTATTTAGGCGGTCTTGACTGTTCTCATCCGCTTATAGAAAGGAGGAGGGTTTCTGGCAATGGTGGGAGTGGAGAGCTGGTTCTGGAGGCTGTTGAAGCCCCAGGAGGTACACAGTGGTTTTCACCTCTCTTTAGAGTGGAAGATGCTCCACACACATTATCCCGCTTTGGGTTCCAGTCATCAGCTTCCAGGCAATAGGATCGAAATGCATCAGCATCCTCCTGCAAATACAAACATCCCTCAACATCTAAACACTCACTACCCCCAAATGGGAATCGAATAGATTCAGATCATCTGCTTTTGTTTTTTGCAACAATGAACTCGTGTTGCATTCATTGTTTTATAACTTCTTTTTTTTCACTTAACAATATGTTGTAAACATATCTTCATGCTGAAAATATTAATCTACAATCTAATATTCAGCATCTGTTTCAGGGATATACTGCCTTGTAACAAACCACCCAAGAAACCAATGGCTTAAATCAATGATGATTTATTGTTTCTCACTCTTCTATGGGTTGGCCAGGCAGTTCTGACCATCCACAAGAAATACAGCATCTTGAGAGAGAAAGACTGGGTTCCGGTCTTTGCCAAGCCTCTTCCTGCTCATGTGGTCTTGGCCAAGTTATTGAACCTCAGTTTCCTCATCTATAAAGCATTACAAATTATAATAATGATGTCTCCCTTACCTGTGATATTTTGAAGATTAATTGAGAACTATAATAATAGTATATACCTGTATCTATCTATCCATGTAGATAGATACACGTGTTAATGTGTGTGAGGTATAACAAATATTAGAGATTGCTGTTACTGTTGTTGTTGTTTGGAATGCCTTGGCAAGGGCTAGGCTAGTAAGGAAGTTGCTGGGGCAAGGGGATAGCTGGCTTTCCAGCTCATCACAATGTGAGGCATCAGAGAGAGGGAGGATCCCTGCTCAGGATAGAAAGATCTGAAAGGAAACAATGGACAGAGCTGAGAATATTAAGCATTGCTCAGCCAAAAGGGTACTGAAGGCGAGGAAAAATCATCTCACTGTAGCCTAAAGGCACTTAGTAGTTAGCTATATTTTCCTACAACTAATAATATGCTGGCAATAAAGTCAGGATAATATATGCTCAAAAGCGGGTAGTGCCAGCTTAGAGGCATCAGACTTAACAAATGACCATGGGCGTCCACAGCCTCTGTTCCTGCCCACTCCACCAAGAGCCCCTTAGGCTGTTCCAGGATACAGAGGAGCATGCAAGGACCAAGGGAGCATCTTGGAAGGACAGGAGAAGCGGTATCAAGGAGCCCAAGTCTAGACCCTGATGATTTCCTGATATCTTGTTTCAATTCCCAAACATCCTATATTTCAGTTCTTTCATTTTCACTTTCAGAGATTCCAACATGTAGAGATTCATGTCTTTGTGTCTTTTGAAAAATGAAATATTTAAAACAAACAAAAAAATATAAAAAATAACCCATCAAAAATCCATGCTCCTATGGCTCAAGGTTGTAAAAATAAAAATAAAAATAAAATCCATGCTCTTGCCACCAGCATAAGAAAGAAAACAGTAAATTATCTTTGATGTACTTCCTAATCCCCTCCTCCTACCTTCCCTCAAGAGGCAACCACTCTCCTGAACCCTGGCATTGACTATGCATGGGCACTCTTTTTAATTTTTTAAATATATAAATAAATCTGATAGGAAAATTGAATTGCTTTACAGCGATTTGAGTCCCTGTGAAGGGCTTTTGGGTACTCTGCCAGGGTGTAGATGACGTCTGAAGAGGCTACAAGGGAACCAGAGAGAAAAAAGCCTGATGAAAGGAACAGAGCCTACATGATCGGTGACAATATCAACTGGAATAACATACATGTAATTAGACTTGGGGGGCATGAACTTTTTTTTTTAATAATGGCTAAATTGTTTTAATCCAAAATAATCTAGGAATTATTAGAATTACTAAGAATTAATAAGAGAGTTTAGCAAAGTTGCTGAATTAAACAATCAATATATAAAAATCAACCAGCCTGGGCAACATAGCAAGACCCAGTCTCTACAAAAAAATACAAAAAAATTAGCTGGACAAGGTGGTATGCACCCGTTGTCCCAGCTGCTTGGGAGGCTGAGGTGGGAGGATCTCTTGAGCCTGGGAAGTTGAGGCTACAGTGAGCCAAGATCACACCACTGTACTCCAGACTGGGCGATGGGAGTGAGACCCTGTCTCAAATAAATAAATAAAATAAATTAATAAAAATAAAAATCAATTACACCCTATATAGCAGCAACAAATAATTTGAAAATGAAAAAAATTCAATGTATAATTTATATAATATAAACGTATTAGAATTTGGAAATATATTTTTTAAGGGCTATGCGAGACCTTCATAGAAAAAATTATAAAACTTTACCATATTCTTGGTATGCCAATACACCATATTCTTGGACCTGAAGATTTAATAATTTAAGGATATCAATTCACCCCAAATTATTTATAGATTTAATCCAATCTGAGCCAAGATATCATCAGGTTTGTTTTTAGAACTGGGCAAGCTGATTCTAAATGCAAAGAGCTAAAAAAGGACAAGATATTCTAGAAGTTGAACAAGGTAGGAGAACTTGCTCTCTCAGATTTTAAGTTTACAGTAAACTTACAGTAATGGTGGTTTCAGGCATAGACAAATAGGCCGGAAGATCGGAGAGCCCAGAAACAGACCCCACTTATTCAGACAGTTGACTTATAACAGAGGTGGCGCTGCAGAGAGGTCAGGAAAGATAGTATTTTCAATAAATGATGATGAAGGTCCACAGGTAAAAATTGAAATTGATTCCCTATCGCCCATATACACAGAAATCCACTCCAGTTGTACTTTTTTGTTGTTGTTGTTTGTTAAGACAGAATTAACATAAAATTCACCATTTAAGCCACTTTTTTTTTTTTTTTTTTTTGAGACGGCGTCTTGCTCTTGTCACCCAGGCTGAAGTGCAATGGCACGATCTCGGCTCACTGCAACCTTTGTCTCCCGGATTCAAGCGATTCTCCTGCCTCAGCCTCCCGAGTAGCTGGCATTACAGGTGTGTGCCACCACACCCGGCTAATTTTTTTGCATTTTAGTAGAGACGGGGTTTCGCCATATTGACCAGGCTGGTCTCAAACTCCTGGCCTCAGGAGGTCTGCCCGCCTCGGCCTCCCAAAGTGCTGGGATTACAGGCGTGAGCCACTGCGCCTGGCCTTAAACCACTTAAAGAGTCTTTTGAAGCATAAAAAAAAAAAAAGAAGAAGAAATGTCATTCCCACTTCCCACTTCCAACCTATTACTCCTGAATCCCCAGAAACAGCTTCTTTAAGTGCTCAGTTGTTTTATCTGGTACTTATCTGCATATTTCTAGAGACAATACCATATTTATGCTGCTATTTCTCTATATATCCATTTCTAGATATTACTTTTCTATACCCTATTATAATCAATTATGATTTAGCTCTCTTATACCACCAGTAGTAATACATCACAACTTCTGTTCCATATTTCCAAAAAAAAAAATGCAATTCAGTGTTTTTTGTGTGTGTACTCACAGAGTTGTGCAACCATCACCAGTAATTACGGAAAGCTTTCATCACCCCAAAAAGAAAACCCTACAGCCATGAAGCAGTCAGTTCAGTGCCCCCTTCACTATCACCACCACCATGACCACCACCCAACACTTCAGCTCCTGCCAGTGAACAACCTACTTTCTATCTCTGTGGATTTACCTATTCTGGACATTTGTATAGACAGAATCATACAATATGGGGCCTGTTGTATCTGGCCTCTTTCACTCAGAATAATATTTTCAAGATTCATCCATGTTGTAGAACATATCAGTACTTCGTTCCTTTTTATGGCTGAATAATAGTTCATTGTATATCACATTTTATTTATTCATTTGTTGATAGACATTTGGGTTGTTTCCACTTTTCGGCTGTTATGAATAACGTTGCTGTGAACATTCATGTACACATTTTGTTTGAACATGTTTTCAATTTTCTTGCATATATATCTAGGAGTGAAATTGCTGGGACATATGTATTTCCATATTTAACTCTTTGGAGAACCACGAAACTATTTTCTACAGTGGCTGCACCATTTTACATTCCTATCAGCAATGTATGAAGGTTTCAATTTCTTTACATCCTCACCAACGCCTGTTATTTTCCATTTTGTGTCCATCCTAGAGGGTGTGAAGTGGCATCTCATTGTGGTTTTGATTTCTGTTTCCCTAATAACTAATGATGTTGAGCATCTCTTCATGTGCTTATTAGCCACTTATATATCTTCTTTGGGAAAACGTCTATTCAAGTCCTTTGCTTGTTGTTAAAAATTAGGTTGTCTTTTTATTGCTGAATTGTAAGAGTTTAAAAACAATATATTCTGGATACGGCCGGGCACAGTGGCTTATGCCTGTAATCCCAGCACTTTGAGAGGCTGAGGCGGGTGGATCACGAGGTCAGGAGATCAAGACCATCCTGGCTAACACGGTGAAACCCCGTCTCTACTAAAAATACAAAAAATTAGCCGGGCGTGGTGGTGGGCGCCTGTAGTCCCAGCTACTTGGGAGGCTGAGGCAGGAGAATGGCATGACCTCGGGAGGTGGAGCTTGCAGTGAGCCAAGATGGTGCCACTGCACTCCAGCCTGGGCGACAGAGCAAGACTCTATCTCAAAAAAGAAAAGAAAAAAAGAAAAAAGAAAAAAAATATATATATATATATTTTTTTTTTCTGGATACTAGTCCCATATCTAATATGTGTTTTGCAAATATTTTATTCCATTCTGTGGGTTGTCTCTCCTGAGAGTGTCCTTTGATACAAAAAAGTTTTAAATTTTGATGAAATTCAATTTTTCTTTCATTTCCTGTACTTCTGGTGTCATATTTAAGAAAACGTCTAATTCAAAGTCACAAAGATTTACACCTATGTTTCCGTCTAAAAGTCTCAGGGTTTTAGGTCTCTTATATTTAGGACTCTGATATGCCCTGAGTTAATTTTTTGATATGGTAAAAAGTAGGGTATCCAAATTAATTCTTTTGCATATAAATATTGAATTATTTCAGGACTGTTTGTTGAGAAGACCATTCTTTCCACCATCAAGTGGTCTTGTCACCTTTGTTGAAAACTAACTGACCATAGATGTATGGGTTTATTTCTGGGTTCTCAATTCTATTTCATATAGAAATGGAATTGAGATTATACCAGTACCACATTGTTTCAATTACTGAAGCTTTGTGGTAAATTTTGAAATTGAGAAATGTCAGTCCTTCAACGCTGGTTTTTTTTTTTTCAAGACTGTGATCGGCATTCAGGTGTCTTGTAATTCCATAAAATTTTAGAATTAGCTTGTCTATATCTACAAACAAGTCAGCTGTAATTCTGATAGAGATTGCACTGAATCTGTAGATCATTTTGAGGAGTATTGTTATCTTAAAAATATTAAGATTCAGCCTGGGAAACATGGTGAAACCCCATCTCTACAAAAAATACAAAAATTAGCCAGGTGTGGTGGTCCCAGCTACTTGGGAGGCTGAGGTAGGAAGATCACTTGCACTCAGGAGGTTGAGGCTGAAGTGAGACATGACCAAGCCATTGCACGCCAACTTAGGCAATAGAGAGAGACCTTGTCTCAAAAAAAAAAAAAAAAAGTCTTCCAGTTCATGAATGTGGGATGTCTTTTATTTATTTTGGTTAAAAATTTTTTTTTAACAGTAGTTTTCAGTGTACAAATCTTTTTTTTTTTTTTTTGAGACAGAGTCTCGCTCTTGTTGCCCAGGCTGGAGTGCAGTGGCGCAATCTTGGCTCACTGCAACCTCTGTCTCCTGGGTTCAAGCAATTCTCTTGCCTCAGCCTCCTGAGTAGCTGACCTCAGGTGATCCTCCCTCCTTGGCCTCCCAAAGTGCCAGGATTACAGGCGTGAGCCACCACGCCTGGCCTCAGTGTACAAATCTTATACTTACTTGGTAAAATTTATTCCCAATTATTTTATGTTTTTCAGTGCTACTATTAATGAAATTCTTAATTTTATTTTTAGATTTTTCATTGCTAGTGTATGGAATTACAACTGATTCTTGTACACTAAAACTTCACTAAACTTGTTTATTAGCTCTAATAGTCTTTTCTTGTAGATTCTTTAAGGGTTTCTATATAAACGAGTATGTGATCTGCAAATAGAGATAGTTTTACTTTTTCCTTTCCAATCTGATTATCTTTTATTTATTTATTGACTAATTGCCCTAGATAGAATTGCCAATGCGTTGTTGAACAGAAGTGGCAAGAGCTGACATGCTTATCCTGTTCCTGATTGTAGGGGGAAGGCTTTCAATCTTTTATTATTAAGTATGATGTGAGCTGTGGGTTTTTCATAGATGCCTGTTTTCGACTGAACTGTATCCCTCCCAAATTCATGTATTGAGGCTCTAACCCACAATGTGATTATATTTGGAGACAGGACCTAAAGGTTAAATGAGATCATAAAGAGAGGGCCTTGGTCTGGCTCAGCAGCTCACTCCCACAATCCCAGCACTTTGGGATGCCAAGGTGGGCAGATCACCTGAGGTCAGGAGTTCAAGACCAGCCTGGCCAACATGTGAAACCCCGTCTCTATTAAAAATACAAAAAATTAGCTGGGCATGGTGGTATGCGCCTGTAGTTCCAGCTACTTAGGAGGCTGAGGCATGAGAATCCCTTGAACCCACAAGGCAGAGGTTGCAGTGAGCCAAGGCCACACTACTGCACGCTAGCCTGGGTGACCGAGTGAGACTCCATCTCAAAAAAAAAAAAAAAAAAAAAAACAGGATCTTAATTGGATAGAACTGACATCTTTATAAGAAGAGGAAGAGAACCACCTGTGGTGGCTCGTTCTTGTAATCCCAGCACTTTGAGTGTCGTTGTTGAGTGGAGTGCTCCATAAATATCTGCTAGGTCTAGTTTGTTTATAGTACTCTTCAAGTCTTCTATATCTTTGATGATCTTTTTTATTTTTTCTTTTTCTTTTTGAGATGGAGCTTTTACTCTTGTTGCCCAGGCTGATGTGCAATGGCACAATCTCATCTCACTACAACCTCCACTTCCCAGGTTCAAGTGATTCTCCTGCCTCAGCCTCCCAAGTAGCTGGGATTGCAGGCACCCGCCACACTCCTGGCTAATTTTTGTGTTTTTAGTAGAGACAGGGTTTCACCATGTTAGCTAGGCTGGTCTTGAACTCCTGACCTCAGGTGATCTGCCTGCCTCGGCCTCCCAAAGTGCTGAGATTACAGGTGTGAGCCACCACGCCTTGCCTCCTTGATGATCTTCTGTATAGTTGTTCTATTATTTAAAGTGGAATATTAAAATCTGCAACTGTTATTGTTTGTCTATTTCTGTCTTTAATTATCTCAGGTTTTGCTTCATGTATTTTGGGGTTCTGTTGCTGGGTGCATATATCTTTATAATTGTTATGTTTTCTTGATGAAATATCCCTGTTATCATTATATAATGTCATTCATTGTCTCTTGTAACAATTTTTGTCTTAAAGTCTATTGCTTCCAATATTAGTATAGCCACCCCCACTGCCTTTGGTTACTGTTTTCATGGTATACTTTTTTCCACCCTGTCATTTTCAGCCTATTTGTATCTTTGAATGTAAAGTGAGTCACCTGTAGATAGCACATAGTTACATCATTTTTAAACACTCATCTGCTATTATCTGCCTTTTGATTGGAAAGTTTAATTCATTTACATTTAAAGTAATTGAGGAAGGACTTACTTCTGCTGTTTTGCTATTTGTTTTCAGTGTTTCATACCATTTTTGTTCCTTATTTCCTTCATTACTGCCTTCTTCTGTGTTAAAGATATTTTTTTTTATTTTATTTCAGTTTATTTGAGACAAGGTCTTTCTCTGTCACCCAGGCTAGAGTGCAGTGGCACAATCTTGGCTCACTGACACCTCCACCTCCCAGGCTCAAGTGATCCTCCTGCTTCAACCTCCCAAGTAGTTGAGACTACAGGCGCACACCACTGTGCCAGCTTAATTTTTGTATTTTTGTAGAGATGGGATTTTGCCATATTGCCTATGCAGGTCTTGAATTCCTGGGCTCAAATGATTCACCCACCTCAGCCTCCCAAAGTATTGGGATTACAGGCGCGAGCCACCATGACTGGCTGATATTTTTTAATATACTATTTAATTTCCTCATCTTTTCTTTTACTATATATTTTTAGTTATTTTCATAGTGGTTGCCCTGAGGATTAAAATTAATGTTTAATTTATAACAATCTAGTTTAGATTAATACTGTTTCAGTATAAGAACTTTGCTACTATATAGTTCTACCCCCATCTTTATGTTGCTTTTGTCACAAATTCCATCTTTACACATTTGTGTCTATCATAGATATATATCAGTAATTTTTATTTATATAGTTGCCTTTTAAATAATATGGGAAAAAAGAACAGATACAGACTAAAAATACATTAATATTGACTTTTATATTTACCTTTACCAGTGTTCTCTATTTCTTCATGTGAAATCAAATTGCTGCCTACTGTCCTTTCATTTCAGCATGAGAGACTCCCTTTAGCATTTCTCGTAGGGCATTAGTGACAAACTCTTTTTTTATTTGGAAATTTCTTAATTTCTATTTCATTCCAGAGGGATAGTTTTGCTTGATATAGCATTCTTGGCTGACAGCTGTTTTTCTTTCAGTCCTTTTAATGTTCTATCCCATTGCTTCCTTACCTCCATGGTTTCTAATGATAAATAAGCTGTTAATCTTATTAAGCATTACTTCTACGTGATAAGCTGCTTCTCTTTTGCTGCTTTCAAGATTCTATCTTTGTCTTTATCTTTGAACAGTTTAATTATAACGTGTCTCAGTGTGGACCTCTTTGAGTTTATCCTACTTGGAGTTTCTTAGATGTATAGACTAATGTTTTCCATCAAATTTGGAAAGTTTTTGCCCATTATTTCTCTCAAGTATTCTTCCTATTAGACCCCACTACCTCCTCTGGCACTCCCATTATGCATATGTTGTGGTATACTTGGTGATGTCTTTTAAAGTCTGCTCATTATTCTATGTCTTTCTTTTTTATGCTCCTCTGACTGAGTAATCTCAATGACTTATCTTCAAGTTCACTGATTCTTCTGCCTGCTCAAATCTGCTGTTGAGTCTCTCTAATAAATTTTTCCTTTCAGTTATTCTTTTAAGCACTAGAATTTATATTTGGCTCTTTTTTATAAGTTTGGTCTTTTTATTGATATTCTCTATATGTGAGACATCATTCTCATGGTTTTCTTTAGTTCTTTGTACATGGTTTCCTTTAGTTTTTTGAGCATATTTTAAATGGTTGAATTAAAGTCTCTTAAAAGTAAGCCCAATGTCTGGGCTTCTTCAGGAATAATTTCTATCAATTGTCATTTTTCTTGTGTAGGGGCCATACTTCCTTGTGTTTTTTCCATGCCTTGTAATTTTTTGTAGAAAACCGGACATTTCAAATATTATAATTTGGCAACTCTGGAAATCAGATTTCCCTAGGGTTTGTTGTTCCTGCCTGTTGTAGTTGTTGCTGTTTGTTTGTTTAGTGCCTTTTCTGAACTAATTTTGAGAACTCTTTGTGTGTGTGTGTGTGTGTGTGTGTGTGTGTGTGTGTGTGTATGGCCACAGAAGTCTCTTCCATTAGCTTCACAATCAGCTAGTGATTGGACAGAGATTTCCTTAAACACCTGGGACAAAAAACAGTAAAATTGCCCTGTCTTTATAGATAAGCCTGTGTATGTGTATTGGGACATGCCTTCAGAGTTCAGTTAGGCAGTTTATAACTCTGCCTTAGTCTTCAATTTCTTCTTGCTTAGAGACTGAAGGTCATGCAGAGGTGAGAGCTTAGGGCTTTCTCAGGTTTTTCTTGAGCATGTGCTTATCCTCTAGATTCCCAGGAATATGTCAGGGCTTTTCAAAATCCTTATTTTGAATAGAATCTCACAAAGTGCGAGAGGAGACATCTTCCTGGAAAGGGATTCTGGATGAACAAATAACATTTAGAGGCTTTTAATAGATTACCTGGCTCATAATCTGTGAGTGAACTGAAGGAGAATGACTGACCCCTCAGAAGCAGCTGCCACATTACAGTGATACTGACCAAAGTAGTAAAGAAGTAAGGAAGCAAGTCTGAAGAAGGGAAGAGGGAGTTTTCCTAGTACTACTTCCATACCATGTGTTTTTTATGGGGCTGGAGTATGAAAAGGAAGGTTGCAGAATGAGGTGTATCAAAACCATCTGGAACCAACTTGTCCCCATTCCAGGGAACCCTCACCCACAGCTCCAACCTGCTCAGGCAGTAACCAAGATGGAAAAAAATTTTTTTTAACATTCGGCCCCTTTCTTTATTGTAATAGTTTATCTGGAAGTACACAAAAATTAATAAATTGCTTTTACTATGCAATTCTGAAATATCAGGTCTACTGCCGTCAATAAAAAAAATTAGTAACTACTTTTATGACATTAAGGTCAAGTCATCATTTGTAGACAGAATCAATTGAGACTCTTTGGCACTTACGACTAATCCATTGTAAACAATTATCAATCTTAAAAACACAGCTCCAGTAAACGTGTAATTATACTGGGTACAGATAAGGAAGTACAAGGCCGGTATGATCGCTTATGCCTGTAATCATAGCACTTTGGGAGGCCGAGGCAGGTGGATCATATGAGGCCAGGAGTTCAAGACCAGCCTAACCCACATGGCAAAACCCTGTCTCTACTAAAAATACAAAAAGAAATTAGCCAGCCATGGTGGTGCTTGCCTGTAATCCCAGCTTCTCAGGAGGCTGAGGCATGAGAATCAGAGAATCACCTGAACCCAGGAGACAGTGGTTGCAGTGAGCCAAGACCATGCTACTGCACTCTAGCCTAGGTGACACAGTGAGTGAGAATCTGTCTCAAAAAGAAAGGAAGTACAAGAAGCTCACTGGCTATGCTAAACCAAATAAATGAAAAGCAGCAAAACTGATTTTTTTTTTTTTTTTTTTTGAGACAGAGTCTTTGTCACCCAGGCTGGAGTGCAATGGTGCGATCTCAGCTTATTGCAACCTCCACCTCCCGGGTTCAAGCCATTCTCCTGCCTCAGCTTCCCTGGTAGCTGAGACTACAGGCATGCGCCACCATGCCCAGCTGCTGGGGTTTCACCATGCCAGCCACGCTGGTCTCGAACTCCTGAGATCAAGTGATCCACCCACCTTGGCTTCCCAAAGTGCTGGGATTACAGACATGAGCCACCGCGACTGGCTGCAAAACTGATTTTATACTGTGGGTTTATACAAATAAATAAACAAAATCCTTTCCTTTTTTTCTATATTTTTTCTTACATTTCTTATAAAAATAACAGAATGCTTCATTTTATTCACTTCAATGGGACAAAGTCCTTAGAGAAAGATTGAAAAGAGCTGATAATCAAACTCCCAAATTTTATGCTTATTTCTTTTCTAGTGCTCTCAATTTTCTGACATTTAACACAGGCAGGAAAACGTTCTCGGTAAATTGAGCATTTGAGTCTATAAATGTCTTCAAGCACTCTGGCAAGTTACATATATCCCATTGCTTTTGGTTGCCCATCTCTTCTTTGCTTCAAACCCCCATGCGAGTTTCTTCTTTTTTCAGGCAGCCCTGTGAATTTTTAGTCTCCATTTTTGGCTTTTACAAACTTGTGGCAGACAACTGCTTTGGCAATTTTTACACCAAGCTCTCGAGTAGCTAGCTAGTTGCTGAGTTCTTCAGCCCTCTCAATATTCCACTCCTCCACAGCCTGCTCTATCCTCTTTTCGAGGCCTTCTCAGTGGTTTTCCTTTTAACAGGGGGGTCAAACCTATCATTGACTCCAACATACTGAGTAAGCTCCTTCCACTGGGCTGCATTTGAGGACTGTTCAATTCCACATATCTAAGGGAATTCCAGAAGGACTCTCTTCTTAGGCATTTACATTTGACTCTGCTTCACTTTTTGCTTCATCTTTTGAGAAATCTATGATTTCTGCTTTTCTGTTGCTCCCATCCTCTTTATCTTCCTGTAAGTTAAGCCCAGAGCTCTCCAATGTAGCTTCATCTTCAGAGTTTGACTCAACATCACTTTCATTTAGGCCAGGAGGTACTAGCCCACTCAACATCTTTTCTTCTGTCAGGATGCAGCCGCCCGGCAGCCATCTTAAGACCCTGTCAACCAAAAAATTTTTTAAGAAATAATTTTTGTGTGAAATCATTGTTGTGTATTATTTCAGTGTATTATTTCAGGGCTTTGTATAAAATAATGTGGACATTTTACTTCTATTTCTATGCTCTGGAACAGTTTAAAATGATTGAGTTCTTGCTTGACCATCTTTTTCTTTTTCCTTTCTTTCTTTTCTTTTCTTTTTTTTTTTTTTTTTTTTTTTTTTTTTTTTTTTTTTTTGAGACAGGGTCTCAGTCGCCCAGGCTGGAGTGCAGAGGTGTGATTTTGGCTCACTGCAACCTCTGCCTCCCAGGCTCAAGCAATCCTCTCATCTCAGCTTCCAGAGTAGCTAGGGCTGCAGGTGCATGCCACCATGCCCAGCTAATTTTCGTATTTTCTAACAGATGGAATCGCACTATGTTGCCCAGGCTGATCTCAAACTCCTAGATTCAAACAATCTGCTGGCCTCAGCCTCTCAAAGTGCTGGGATTATAGGAGTGAGCCACCGCACCTGGCCTATATTTTTCAATTAATTAATTTTGGAGGAGACAAAAAACATTCAAATCATAGCACTCACTATTAAAAAACTGGAAATAAAAACAAATGCCAAACAAACCAGGAAGGATTAATTTATGGCACAGTCAAACAATAGAGTAATGAAAATGAATAAACTCCAACTGCATACCACAGTGTGGATGAATCTTAAAAACACAATGTTGAGGCCAGGCATGGTGACTCATGCCTGTAATCCCAGCATTGTGGGAGGTGAGGCAGGCAGATCACCTAAGGTCAGGAGTTTGAGACCAGCCTGGCCAACATGGTGAAGCCCCATCTCTGCTAAAAATACAAAAATTAACTGGGCGTGGTGGCGCACGCCTGTAATCCCAGCTACCCGGCAGGCTGAGGCAGGAGAATCGCTTGAACCTGGGAGGCAGAGGTTGCAGTGAGCCTAGATTGTGCCATTGCATTCCAGCCTGGGCGACAAGAGTGAAACTCCATCTCAAAAAAACAAAACAAAAAACCAATGTTGAGTTTTAACAGCCCAACATGAAAGTATATTTATACTCCAATTCTCTTAATGTACACTCAAAATACAGACCAAACCAAACCATATTGATTAGGAATGAATAATCAGGTGGTAAAAGTACAAAGCAATGCAAGGAAAGACTGAAGTCAGGATAGGGCTATCTCTGTGCAGGGAAGGGACTGAAAGAGAAAGGGGTGGATTGGGAAACGATACAGGGAAACTTCTGGTGATAATGTTCTATTTATCGACTTAAACAGTGTCGCTACACAAGACTTTGCTTTATGATTATTCATTATCGTGCTCACTTGCGTATGGTATATGCTTCTCTGTATATGTATTATATTTCACAAAGTTAATAAAGCTTATACAACAAAGAAAAGGTTCATTACTGAAAACAGACACCAACTCCCAGGGGAAGGAGTACAACGGAGCTGATTTCAAGAGCCTGGACATGAGGCCCTGAAGAGGAGATCTTCACTTTCTGGCCCAGAAGAAACCCATATTTCTGCCTCATGAGTATCATCTCGGGGAAGCAGGGGAGTTCTATAGCCTCAATAAAATATCAATGCAAGGACCCGTGCGTGTGTGTGTGTGTTTTTTTTTTTTTTTTTTTTTTGGAACAGAGTCTTGCTTTGTCGCCCAGGCTGGAGTGCAGTAGTACGGTCTTGGCTCACTGCAACCTCCGCCTTCCGGGTTCAAGCAATTCTCCTGCCTCAGCCTCCCGAGTAGCTGGGATTACAGGTGCCTGCCACTGTGCCCAGCCAATTTTTGTATTTTTAGTAGAGACGGGGTTTTGCCATCTTGGCCAGGCTGGCCTCGAACTCCTGACCTCGTGATTCACCTGCCTCGGCTTCCCAAAGTGCTGGGATTACAGGCGTGAGCCACCACACCTGGCCAACCCATTTATTCTTTAAGGATCTAATTCTGCAGGGCATCAGCCAGGCTCAAGATAGAACTGAGGTGAGGCTCTGCAGGCTTCAATCCCCAGATCTGTCTGAAAATGCTCAGTTGCGCTCAATCCTAGGTGAAGAAATGGTACCAGAATCCCAGAGTTCCAGCACAACACAGTGGTGTTTCTTTTGTGATGTCATCAACACCTGCTTCTGACCTCACCCGCCCAGAAGTTTCCAATATCATTCAGTGATAGTGGCGGTGGATAACAATGACCTCCTACCAGCTGTGAATTTCTCGTCTTCCACTAGTACTAGTAAAAGAGATTGCTGCTGGCTAAGAATACCCACCGGTGGGGTCTTGGTGAGTGGGGCCCAGTCTGAGGCCAGGGGTAAGAGAGGGCAGAGGGGCCAGGGTTGCCCCAGAAGAAGGGAAGCCTGGATTCTCTTCTGTGGCAGGGCTGAGTGATCATAGGGCCTGACTCCTCCACTGGGGAATGCCAGCTTCCAAGTAGAGACAGTGCTGTGTGTCTAGACCTAAGCCTGAAGTCTTCCTCTCTCTAGAAATCCACAACCCTGTGTCTGGTCAGGCAGAAGACACTGGAAAAATGGTTTTCCATTCCAATACATTTCCCCACTACTTTCTGCACAGGAAAACAAATTCACTTCTGTCTGGAAAGGCAGATTAGAGCATGTGATAGGAGCTGAGCTCCCAAAATGTATCCACTTTCTTAGAGAGTTTTTATTTGGCTCTTGGGATCAGGGATACCCTAGAGTATGTGGCTTGCCACTTAAAGTATAAATAGTGTCTTGGCTTTGCCTTGAAAATACTGTCCCTGTCAGTGGCATATGTTTATATTCTGGGTCTTGTAGTAAAATCTGTGGTCTGACTCCCATCATCTCCAACCCCATGGCCCCCTGCTTACCCTCTGCCTAGCAGCCTCACCCAGCACCAGGCCTTGGGGTCATAGGGACACTGGTGTGTGGCTTTCACTTCCTGCCTTTTCTCTCTCATTTTGATTTTTCCTGAACATCTCACCTGGGTACCACAGAAAACCCATGTACATTTGCGTAGGCTGTGCACAGTTGTGAGGTTTTTTTAATTGTTACTGTTGTTTTTGCAATTGCAAACAATTCTGCAATGAGCATTCTTGTGTGTGTAGGTCTTTGTGAGCTTGAGTGTTTATGATGGAAATTATTTCTAAATAGCAGAGACAAGTTCCCAGGGCCACCATAGGCTCAACAAAACTATGAGGGTTGGGTCCCTGCAGTTGTTCACTGGGCTGGTTTAAGATCTCAGACAATTTCACTGATCAATCAATACAGGCAGTCCAACTTACAACGACTCTACTTACAATTTTTTGACTTTAAAATGGTGCAAAAGCCATATGTATTCAGCAGAAATCATACTTCAAGTATCCATACAACCACTCTTTTTCATTTTCAGTATTCAATAAATAAAATCCTCTAACACAAAGCCCATTTTATAATAAAGTGTTGAAATATGCAACATTTTATTATACAATAGGCTTTGTGTTAGGTGATTTTGCCCAACTATAGGCTAATGTCAGTATTCTGAGCACATTTAAGGTAGGTTAAGCTATGATGTTTGGTAGATTAGGTGGTGTGTTAGTCCGTCCTCATGCTGCTGATAAAGACATACCTGAGACTCGATAATTTATAAAGAAAAGAGGTTTAATTGACTCAGTTCCACATGGCTGGGGAGGCTTCAGGAAACTTACAATCACGATGGAAGGGGAAGCAAACCCATCTTTCTTCACATGACAGCAGGAAGAGAAGTGCTGAGCAAAAGGGGAAAAGCCCCTCCTGAGTAGTTGGGATTACAGGCGCCCGCCACCACACCTGGGTAATTTTTTGTATTTTTAGCAGAGACAGGGTTTCACCATGTTAGCCAGGAGGGTCTCGATCTCCTGACCTCGTGATCCACCCGCCCCGGTCTCCCAAAATGCTGGGATTATAGGCGTGAGTCACTGCGCCCGGCCTTTTTTTTTTTTTTTTTTTTTTTAATCGTTGTTCTCTCTTCTCTTGCTCTTGACTTTTGCCCTTTTCACTGTGCTTGCTTTCTTATTAGTCCTTTCCCCTTCTAACATGCTCCTGCTCATCTGCTGTGGTTTTGAAAATCAGGAAAGTGGCTTCTCCTTTAGGCTATTGGTTCAGCTGCTGCAACAGAGACCAGACAATAGTGACTTTACAAGGTTATTGCTCTCCCGTGAGAAAAATGCAAGGTGGTCAACATTGTAGGGCACTTCTCCAGGTCATCTTGTGACTCAAGTTCTTCCTGCCTTGATGCTTGACTGTCTCTAGGGAGTTGTCCTGGTCAGCATCATCAAAGCTGCCCTCCCCTCCACCCCATGTCCACATCCCAGTCTTCACAAAGAGGAAAGAGGAAGTAGAGAACAGCCAGCTTCCTTTTAAGTATGTGGCCCAGAAATTAAACCTATTACTTCCACTCATATCTCACTGGCTAGGACTTAGTTCATACTTCCACCTGGCTTCGAGGGGTTCTGGGATATGTGGTCTATAGTAGGAGAGCCATAAATCCAGGTTTTAATCTTGGGAGCTCTACTGCAAAAAGGAAGAGGGAAAGAAAAGGGGCTCTTAGCAGTCTCTGCCACACTGGATCTATTGAAATTTTGTGTGGAGTAAATAAAGGTGGGCACCAATTGAAGACACAAGGTGATCTGCAGAAAAAGCCCCTCCCCTCCCCTCCTCTTCCCTCACCTCCCCTCCCCTCCTCTTCCCTCCCCTCCTCTTCCCTCCCCTCCTCTTCCCTCCCCTCCTCTTCCTTCCCCTCCCCTCCTCTTCCCTCCCCTGCCCTCCCCTCCCCTCCTCTCCTCTCCTTTCTGATGTAGATCTCTCTATATTGCCCAGGCTGGTCTCAACCTCCTGGCCTCGAGAAATCCTCCTGCCTCAGCCTCCCAAGTAGCTGGGATTACAGGTGTGAGCCACCACACTTGGCTTCCATCCCCCTTTTCTGTACCTCTCTCTCTGTCTATTTTTTTTTTCTTTTGAGACGGAGTCTCGCTCTGTCGCCCAGGCTGGAGTGCAGTGGTGCCATCTCAGCTCACTGTAAGGGTTACTCAGAGTCCTTTTGTTTCTTTTATATTGTTCTGGATTATGTTCCCAGACCAGACATTGGAGGTTAACAACGCGGTCATGAAGACAATAACAGGCATAATCTTTCAGATTTGACAACTCAGGCCAAAGGCACTCCCACCCCAATCCACAAGTGAGAGCATGATAAGTGTTTTCAGTGTCACAGACCAGAAGGGCCTTTCTTTTGAAAGCCTCAGTTATTCATACCCATACACCTTTACTGAGAACCTTCTACAAGCTGACACTCATCTAGGTGGTTGGTTGGGACATTGGGGTCATCTCTTTCCCCACCACACAGCCCACCTGGCATCTCCATGGGTTCTCCTCCTTCCATGGGTTCTCCTCCCTTCCTTCCCTTCCCTCCCTCCCTCCCTCCCTTCCTTCCCTTCCCCTTCCTTCCTTCTTTCCTTCCTTCCTTCCTTCCTTTCTTTCTTTTTCTTTCTTTCTTTCTTTCTTTCTTTCTTTCTTTCTTTCTTTCTTTCTTTCTTTCTTTCTTTCTTTTTCTTTCTTTCTCCTCTCCTCTCTTCCCCTCCCCTCCCCTCCCCTTCCCTCTCCTGCCCTCCCCTCCCCTCCTCTCCTCTCCGATGTAGGTCTCTCTATATTGCCCAGGCTTGTCTCAACCTCCTGGCCTCAAGAAGTCCTCCTGCCTCAGCCTCCCAGGTAGCTGGGATTACAGGTGTGAGCTACCACACCTGGCTTCCGTCCCCCTTTACTGTATCTTTCTTTTTTTTTCAAGACGGAGTCTCACTCTGTCGCCCAGCTGGAGTGCAGTGGTATGATCTCAGCTCACTGCAACCTCCGTCTCCTGGGTTCAAGTGATTCTCCTGCCTCAGCCTCCCAAGTAGCTGGGATTGCAGGTGCCCGCCACCACCCCCGACTAATTTTTGTATTTTTGGTTGAGACTGGGTTTCATCACATTGGCCAGGCTGGTCTCGAACTCCCAACCTCAAGTCATCTGCCCGCCTCAGCCTCCCAAACTGTTAGGATTATAGGCGTGAGCCACCACACCTGGCCTCTCTTTACGGCATGACCTTGATGCTTATCAGGTTTCTCCTCTAGGAGGTGGAGTGGGTTGGATATGGGCTTACAACAGCTTCTGTGATGATGAAGCAGAGAAGGAAAAGACGAACTGCTTTTGTTGAGAATTTATGCTGTCCCACCAGACTGTGAATAGCATAACTACAGCAACAACAATGAATATTTGCAGAGCATTTATTTTGTACATGGTATTTCATTTAATCCTCACAATCACCCTTTAAGCTTATGATTATTGTTTTCCCCCATTTTCCATATGCCAAAAAAAAAAAAAAGCACAGAGAGGTTAAGTCCCACATTTAGGTGGCCCAGCTGGGACTGAAATGCAGGCAGCTAGCGTTCCCAGCACTATTCTTGTATTGATCTGATTTGTCTTTGTACCCGCCAGCCTTTATCCTAGAAGAGAATAAAGGTGTCAGAGCAGAGGGGTGTGAGACCTCAACTAGCCCAGCCCTCTCAGAATTACAGATGAGAGGGAAAAACAAAGAGAGATCAAGTGAGCTACCCAAGGTTGCACAGCATGATAGCCGCTAAGCAAGGGCTGGAACCTAGACCCTGATGCCCTGTTGCCACTGCAGAATACGTGTTCAAAAGTCTTCCCGTCCCGTGAATGAAAAAGATAATGAGTGGGCCGGCGCGGTGGCTCACGCCTGTAATCCCAGCACTTTGGGAGGCTGAGGCGGGCGAATCACGAGGTCAGGAGATCGAGACAATTCTGGCTAACGCGGTGAAACCCCGTCTCTACTAAAAAATACAAAAAAAAAAAATTATCCGGGCGTGGTGGCGGGAGCTTGTAGTCCCAGCTACTCGGGAGGCTGAGGCAGGAGAATGGCGTGAACCTGGGAGGCGGAGCTTGCAGTGAGCCGAGATCACACCACTGCACTCCAGCCTGGGCGAGTGAGTGGATAATGGATAGACTTCGACAGAGTCTGTCTATGTGGCTCACCCTTGGGTCTTCGTGGGGTGGTTGGGTCATGAGAACCAGGGGGTCAGGGGAAGAGGGAGATGACTAGAGTGCGCCAGCCTGATACGGTTGTGTGGAAGGGGGTGCTGTGCTGCTGGTTATGGGGAAATCAACCCATGAAAGCATAACCAGCCTTTGACCCCCTCCTCTGGCACCTCATGACCTTGTGTTCACAGGGCTTCCTCTATGGCATTCTTATCATATTGTTAACAGCCCTAACTGGTGAAAGGGAGTCACTTTCAGAGAGCATTGGGCAGTGGCTTCTTTCCCATCAGCTATTGTACTGCAAGTGCCAGATAATGTCGATGACATAAATGTGCCTAGGCCCCTGCCTGGGAGGGAGAGGCTGTTTACTACTGCCCCTTGTTTTGCACACTGGTCTTTGGGGGTTGCAAACACTGGCACCTGTCCTCGGGGTCAAAACCAGTGTCTATAGCAGAGTGGGCAGGACTTTGATGAAACTCTGATACCTGCAGGATTGTGGCCCACCGCAAACCGGAAATGACCCAGCTCACTCCCTTGGCCCTCCCTGGTGGGGCTGTGGCCAATTGTAGATCACTCCTTTGCTGTAGAAGGAGTCTGGGTAGCAGCTGGGTACCAGCCACTAGGCTGGTGCCAGGACCTGGTCCTTGGGCGGGGCAGAGGGCTATCTTTGTGGGAGTGGAGTGGCTTTTCTTGCTTCTGGCTGATGGGACTAAGGAGACTGGGAAAGGCGACATGCCTCAGGGAGGGCGAGGGGAGGTGGCAAAGGAGCTGCCAAGGCCCAATGCATCAGGGCAGCTGGAGCAAGCTGGAACCAGGGACCGGCAGCCTTGTGTGTTTGAGATAGTAATTTGCAGATGGTTCCTGGTAGCGACAGGGTCTCTGAGGCGGAGCCTGGGTCTTCGCGTAGGATCTGCCAGCCTGGGTTCCCCGGCAGGTCAGAGAAGCTTTGGGGCGGGGCCAAGGTTGGCCCCTGCTTGGGAGGAGCCGGGATGCCTCTCTCACAGTGATGCAGAGAGGAATTTGCTGACAGTCCCTTGCCAGGTGGGGCTGGCTTCGCCCAGCCGGCGAGGAGGAGGACCCGCTGGCAGTCTCCTCCCAGGTGGGGAGCGTGGAGCCTGTCACTGCAGCCTGGCGGCCTGAGCGCCGAGCCTGGGGCTGGGGCCGCGGTGCTGAGGACGCAAATGTGGTGAGCACGCGATGCGGGTGCGGTGACCGGGGCTGGTCGGGCCGGGAAGAAGGGGCGCCGGATCCAGGTCCCGCACGGGGAGGGGGCGGGGAAGGATTGCTTGTTTCTGTGCTTTCTGAGACCTTGCATTGGGAGGGATGGGGGTAGGGGAGACTGCGCCACAGTCCCTTGCCACGCTGGCTGTCTCTAGCTTGTACCCAGGAAAGGGTGGCCTGAGCCGCCCACCCGGGAGGGCGTGGCTTTAGTAGACCGGTCTTCACTGGGTTGGGGGAACGGAGGTGGGTAGGAGGTTTGCTTGGGGGGTCCCCGGCCTCCTGCCTGACAGCCAGGTGGGAGTTACCGCTCGGGGCTACCCTCTCCCCCACCCAGGGATTCCCCGGGGCTCTGCCGCCCACTCTCTGGGCTGGGACGGGAGGGGGCAGTCTGCTCCGCCGTTATGGGTTATGACAACGTCACTGCTGCGCTGCTGCCTGGCGGGCTGGGCTCCTGGGCCCCCAGGGGAACAATGCCACCCTTTCCCCATGTGCTTCCAAAGAAAGGCTCTTGCCTCCCTACTCGCCCTGGCCTTGAGAGAGGAACGTTGTGTTTGGATGAAGGCCCTGGGGAAACTGAGGCCCAGGGGTGCTGTGGCTTGACCAAGGTCACTGAGCAGGCCCTACAGAGCTGGCCTCCCAGGCACTGCCTTCACCGAATGCCCTCTGGAGGGGCAGGGGCCCTTCTTCCTCTCTAGACCCCAGGACCTCCCCCCACCCCAGCACCCCATTTCCTCATCCCTGAGAATGCAGGGAGTTGCAACTTCCGCATGGGGCTCCAGGGTATCATGGGTGTAAGCAGCAATTAGATTGTCTGGGGACAGGAGAAAATTGCTCATGAAAAACACCTAAGTGAGCAGAGGGGGTGTGAGCGTGTGCTGTTCTTGTGGGTTCAAGGAAAGAATGAGAGTTGGCTTTGAGGAGAGGAAGGCCCGTGCTGATGGGAATGAGGAGATGAACTTTCTCCTTCAACAGCCTGCAGCGCTCCAGGAAGATGTGTTTTCCCTCAAGAAAGGGTCCATCTCTTAGCACCACCCTCTGTTATCACCTTATCCTTGTTCTCTCTCCGGCCCCTGTCCCTGGGAGAAATGGGCTACATTCCGTCTATTGCCCTTAGAAGTGAACTTTCCCCTTAGAAGTGAATTCACCTTGTTCTTCTCCCTGGGACAGATGACCTTCCCTGGAGGGAAACTGAGGCAAGGAGAGAGCGACATTTTAGAGCCAGAGCCAGATGAGGAAACTGAGGCACAGAGGGTGGAGTGAGTTCTCCAGGTATCTTACCTACATGCAGGTCTTCTGACTCCCCAGCCACCAAAGGGCAGACTGGAGGGGCCTCTTCCTGTCTTCTCTTCGCACCCCACAGTCCCAGCGCTGAGAAGCTGAGGCTGCAAGGGCCTCCTGATGGGTGTGGAGGAGGTCGGTGACAGGGAACAGCACCAGCATTTTCTCCTCCTTTAAGATATGTTTTCTAGTTTCTTGGGAAGGAAGCAGCTTGAAGACGGGAAGTGAAGTCTCTTGGTTACCTTCCCATCATGCCCCCACAGGGATACACAATTTCTGTGGGCCTATCGGAGCCAAAAACAGGCATCCCTCCTGCCCGAGTGCCAGCAGCTGTGAGCATAGCCAGGGAGTGGGGATCCACAGGTAGAGGGACTTCATTTATCTCCCTGACAGCATCTCCGGATCGGGGGTTTGGGCCAGCACCGGTTTACTCCAAGTGAAAGGAGTTGCCATGTGCCTGGCTCATGAATTGCTCCTTTTCAGACACCCTCTGAGCACAGAACCCCTGACGCTGGCCCCTGCTGGCTTCACAGGAGCCTTGGGTTGCATGATGACCACCAGGAGCTGCTGGGGTGACCTGTGGGAAGGGATGGGGTTCCCAGTAAACCAGATGAGAACTAGCTGCTTGTGGGGTGACAATATAGCACCAGAGAGGAGAGGGCCCACCATACTGGAGGGAAACCACATGGTATGTGTCCCTCCCAGCTAGCAGAGAAAGGGTCAGGCCTCAGAGAGGCCCCGTGGTGAGAACCAGACTTAAAGAGCAGAGAGCTGGACCGAGTGCCTCTATCGGCAGGCACTCTGCCCTCAGCATCTCTACCTGATAGCTAGGCATGAAAACACCTTCTCCAGATGGGTGGGAGGGCTTTGGAAACTTGTCAAGTGTTTATTACAAATGGGAAGTATTATTCCTGGAGTCTCTGGTCTAGGTGGAAGCCATCTGTTTCCTGCCTTGATGGGGGAAACATGGTCATTTCTTCTTCAGAGGATGCTCTCTCCCTCTGCGGCCAGCCTAGGGCATCCTTCTAGGCTGGGAAGGCAGGTCAGCCCTCCCCAGCCCGCTTCAAGTTGTGCTTGGGCCCTTGAGGAGTTTCATCCCCTCCATCCCCAGCTGCCCATTATAGTTAACATATTTAACAGGATGTTCACCCCCGAAAATGCAGGTGTCTAGTGGCACCGTGGAGCTTCCTACAGGCCTGTACCCTCCCCACTGCCTCAACTCTCGAATTCCACGACCTCTGCTCTGATTCTTCCTGGGAAGAGGCGGGTGGAAGAACCATAAAGATAATGGGTGTAAAGTGCTGGGAGCTGTTTGCACAGAGCGTCCAGTTTGCAGGAACCCACGTGGTGCTCAGGCCATGGGCAGGCTCACACTGGGAAAGGCTGTAATGAAAGTGCTCAGAGGAAGTGCTCAGCTTCCAGTGAGATCAGCAGCTTTTAGTGCCCTGTTTTGCCTGAGGTGGGGCCCCAATGCTCACTCTTCTTTCCTCTCGTGGGAGAGCAGTGGTTTTCACAGCTTACACATCAGCATGGGTGGTGTAAATGGAACTCCACATTCTTGCCCATGAGTTGGCTGGTGCAACTCCTGCAAGGTAGGGTTACAGGAGGAGCTGAGATGAGAACGTGGGCAGCTCACGAAGTATGGTGTGTCCTTGCTCTAGATCTGTCTGCATTGCTTAGGCCCAACTGAGGGTGGCTCTTAAGAAGAACAACGTGTGGCCAGGACTCCATGTTCTGTGTTTCTAGGGCAGGATATGTACTCAAGCTGCCACATTCCTTGCCAACACCCCTGGGGCTGGTGCTGAGACATGCAGAGGCAGAGTGGGCGGGGAAGGGGCGCCTCATTGTCACCTCCTGCCTCCTTGTAGTCATTAGTAATGCTCCCCAAAGGGAAACCGAAGCATAGACCTGCTTAGAAAGCTAGGACTAGGACCCAAGTGTCCTGGGCTCCCACCTTCTGCTTTTCCCAGCCTTTCACTCTGCCATTTGACACGAGCACCCTCAAGATGAGATGGGAAGAGCTGGGCTGGAGGTGAGTGAGTCATGCCCAGCCCTGTGCCTGTAGACCTTCATTCCTGCCAAGCCAGGGCCTCTGGTGTCCTTAGAGGATCAGAGGCAGAAAGATCAGCTTCCAACAGGAAACCAAACTGTCCCCTCCCCATTACTGAGTGGCCTGGCCAAGGAAGGTCCTGGAGGCAGAAGCCTTCTCCTCACTCTGGCTGAGTCTTCTCAGAGTTGTGCCCAGCAAGGTGCATGCTGGCCTCAGGCCATCGAGTCCCAGCAGAAGAGCAAGTGACCCTAAGGTCTTTGGAGAGATAGGTGGGCAAGATGGAGCTGTGGCCAGTCCGCTGGGATACAGCTGTCCATTGGGTTTTGGGTGTTGAGGACTCATTGCCTTAGGGTGTCTGAGTGGCAGTGATTTGGCCATAGGGTAGAAACACTACAGAGGGCAATGGAACATGCACCCAGGGCCCTGTGGGGAAATCAATCCTGCTTTGATGGGGGACATGGAAGCACAGAGGACCTGTCATACATGGACACGCTGCCTGGGGGAGTACTTGGGAGCTGCGTTCCCACCTATTTCATTACCTGCTCACTTCACTTCCGTGAGTCTTCCATTTGCAACATGGTGAAGCAATCCCCTCCACACAGAGCCACTGGAAGGATGAATGGGAGGAAGCGGAAAGGTGCCCAGCTTGGGGCCTGGTGACCAGGAGTCCCCTTCTTTCCATTTGCTCGTCCCTCTGCTTGCTGAGTGGCCAGCTGTCCAGGGACCCCTGGGATGGCGACCATGTTTTGTTGTTGTTGTTTTTTTTTTTGAAACAGAGTCTCGTTCTGTTGCCCACTCTGGAGTGCAGTGGCACTATCTCGGCTCACTGCAACCTCTGCCTCCCAGGTTCAAGCGATTCTCCTGCCTCAGCCTCCCGAGTAGCTGGGATTACAGGCGTGCGCCAACACGTCGGCTAATTTCTTTGTGTTTTTGGTAGAGACAGGGTTTCGCCATGTTGGCCAGGCTAGTCTCAAACTCCTGACCTCAGGTGATCCACTCATCTCAGCCTCCCAAAGTGCTGGGATTACAGGAGTGAGCCAACGTGCCCAGCCAGACCATGCTTTTTTGATGACACCAAACAATGTTCAAGAATGGCTGACCAACAATGTCGACTGCTCCAGGCACTGTTAGAACTGAACTGTCACCTTCAAAAATGCTTCAGGCCATGCATGGTGGCTCATGCCTATAATCCCAGCACTTTGGGGGGCCTAGGAGGGAGGATTGCTTGAGCCCAGGAGTTCAAGACCAGCCTGGGCAACATAGAAAGACCTTGTCTCTACAAAAAAGTGAAAAAATTAGCCAGGCCTGTAGTCCCAGCTACTCAGGAGGCTGAGGTGGGAGGATCACTTGAGGCCAGAAGGTTTAGTCTGCAGTGAGCTGTGATTGCACCACTGCACTCCAGCCCAGACGACAGAGCAAGACCTTGTCTCAAAAAACAAAACAAAATAAAAAATCAAAAAGGCTTCTCACATCCCTGAGGACCTGGCAGAGGGGGAATCTTCTCAGAACCAAAGGGGTGTGTGTGTGTGTGTGTGTGTGTCTGTGTGTGTGTGTGTGTGTCTGTGTGTGTCTGTGTGGTGTGGGCAGGGAGTGTCCTTTCATACAATGAGCAAGCTGTTGCTGGACCAGGGATCCTTCCTTGGCTGGCGCCTCATGTGCCCAGGCGTGTCAACTAGGCCTGGCTTGGGGAGACCTTCTCAGGCAGCAGAAGAACAACAGCCTGAACAATAAGCCTGGCTTGAGGCCCTGGAGCCACTCAGCAGCCTCACATTCTCTGTCATTACTCTTTAATCCTCTCCACGCCTTGGGAGAGAAAGCAAGTCTGAGTCACCCGCTCAATAGGTAAGAAAGCTGTGGCTTGAGAGGTTGTGACAGCTGCAACCACACTCACACACCAAAGCAGCAGAACCCAAACTGGGGCCATGGCCAGTCTGTGTCCAGGGGAGCCATCTGTGTGCCGTCCTCCCAAGCACAGCTGACACATCCTGAGCTCACCTCTTACTGCTGGGGCTGGTGGTTTTGCTGAAGTTGCTTGAGACGAAAAGACTTGGAAGAGAAGGTCGTGCGTTTCTCCCCTTCCCCTCCACTCTGGGCAGGGCGCCCAGAACCAGATTCTGCTGAAGGACATCTCGAGTCACGGGAGCAGGGAAGGTAGAAGGCTAGGATTCCCACCCCGCCCCCACCAGGTTCCGAGGGGCTGAGCCGAGGCA